>NC_000006.12:160979880-161131396 GCF_000001405.40 Homo sapiens | reverse complement strand
GTTACCAGTGAAATAGCAAAGCTGTTCTCCAGGAAAGGACATCCAGGTTCCCACCCAGGCCTTCCTTCCTCAGCTCCTGCAGCCTCATCCTAGTTTAATATGAAGGTTGTGAATGGGTTAAAAAGCAGTTCTTAAGCACCTACTTAGATCTTTTCAGTATCTGGAAATAGCACCCAGGGCTGTGTTAGTAAAGCTTTTCACTGGGTAAGAGTCATACAATTTTTACATTTAATTTGTTTTTTTAAAACAAGGCAGTCTTGTTTTACATATTGGAATGACTAGATATTTTTTGACATTTCTGGCACCTCTGGTTCTGCTGAATTTTAAGGGAGGTGAGTGGTATGTACACAAAGTTAAGATTGCTGCATAATAATTCCTTTGCATTTCCAAAATAAATTACACAAATGTCACTTTTCCTTTTCTATTCCATAGTACTAGTTTTAGCCAGATCTTTGCCAAACATTCTAGGACATTCAGAAAAGTCATCCATGGAATTTTGGAATGCCATTCTCTCTGTATCTTTGCAGATCATGAGGAAGGAAAGTTGATGAACTAGTACGGGATGGCTCAGACTTGTAAAGTGTCTAAGTCACAACGCTGCAGAGCCAGCTTCCGGGTAGCAATGGCATGGCCTCAGCTGTGCCAAGGCTACAACTGGAGCTTCCTTACTCGCATCTGAGGCAAACACAGCAAGGCTGGCCCAGGCCGCCCACAGTCAACAGATGTTCACGGGAGATGGATCAGCCCCTCTTTTGCTTGTTCTATCAAGGAAAGAGATCTAACCATGGGCAAGGGTGGAACACACCCGGTTCAGGTCAGGGAATGAGTTGCTCTAAGTGAACAGTGAATTCTTACTTCTCAGCCTGTATCAATTGTACCCAGGGTTCATGATTACTGTGACCCACTAAGGGATGATCTTTGAGGAAACAGACCTGGAGGGAGGTAATTTAAGGAGGGAAAGCGAGTGGGTTTTACAGACTGCTTTGTGGCGACATTCAGGAACAGACCATTCAATGGATGACTTTTCAGTACATAAAAGCAAGCAGTAATGGCCAGGAGAGAGCAAAGATGCCCTAAGAATGACATCAGACTGACCAAATGTGCCTTTTCAAATAAGTTATGAGAACGAATGAATTGGAATTAGAGCAAGGTATTGGACAGAACCATGCTAGTCTTTGAGAGAACGTGTGGATTGGGTGGATGTTTGGACCGAATGAATGGTAACTTTTTAATGTGAAACAGAGAACTGATATATGGGCTGTCATGTCACCCTAGGGTACTGTCGCTCTGTCATGTGTAGCAATCTTTCCAAATTTTTGTTGGTGGGCTGAACAAAGATAAAACTAATAAAGTATGTGTGGATACCACTAGACAGCACAGCTTACTGGACTGGATGTAATAAAACTGACTGAAACTTTAACTTGGAAAAATGCACGTCTCTACACTGCCTCACCCAGTATCTGCAAGGAAAGTGGAATGGTCCTGCAGTGGACCCCTGCTACCTCCCTTGCCTGGTCTGGGCCATTCTAGCCCTTTGCCCCACTGCCCCGCCTCTTCCAGCTTTACCATGATGCCATGCTCTCCCCGCCCCTCTCCCCAGGCTTCATTCTCTTTCTCCCTCCTTATGACTGCATTCCTCAGAGCCTTTGCCTGAACTTCCCTCTCTAGGCCAATTCCCCATCATCTCTTACCAGGATGAGAGAAAACGCTGGGGGTGGGGCCAGGGTGGGGACATGTCTCACATTTAACTACCTATGCAAGATCTGTCTGTCTCCCTGATTATGGACTATATACTCCATGAGGGCAGGGATGTCTGTTTTGTTGCATGAAGATTAGTGTAAATCCACGGCACAGAATGCAGCGCTCTTGCTACTGTCAGAACACCTACAGCAACCGTCGGTTCTGACACTCTCTAAAAACGTATCGACAAACTGAAGCGAGGCCTGGGAAAGCCAAGACAGTTTTAGAAAACTATTAACTTGGGAAGCAGAGATGAATGACTTACAGTGAGGGGAGACAGCGATATTCAAATACGTACAGGAATAGTCAAGTATAGACAGCATGAACAAGCAGTATGATGAGGCTGATTTCAGCCCAAAACAAAAAAATATTTTACAGTAATTAACTCTGAAGTGGAAGCAGAGGCAATGGAGGAAGACTGTGAGTAAAGGATAAAATGCAATAGAAACAGTATATCCTGGAGTTGTGTGACAAAGCAACCCCGTCAACTTTGAGGAGGACAGATGACATGAAAATGAAGGTGGTTAGAAAACCACTGAAGTTGCACATGTGTCTGCGGTAAGTCACTCTGCAACAGGAATGATTCCAACAGACTAGGAACAAAGCACCTAACGATACATGAAAAGAACTGTGCTCCTACGGCTGACAATAGCTGTCTCAAGAAGAGAAAAAGCGACTTGACAAAATGCTAGAACACTAGAGCAGGTTACCAGAGGACTCGCCCCAGAGTGGAAAGCCTGTGACCCTTCTGTTAATTCAGGGGAGGCTGGGAATTTGCGAGGCTGTTAGGTTACAGGGATGGATGACGTGACAGACATTTCAAGCAGCGCACGTCATGGGAATTTCCATCACAGTGTTAAATCTGTGACTCGCCATGACCTCAGACACCACACTAACAAGTGACCTGCTTCATCACATGGCCAATAACAAACCGATCCCTTCTGGGAAAATACACTGATCTTTTAACAGGAAAAAAAAGAGCAAGCTTCAAAGGACAGACTCATACTCCCATAGGTGGAAATGCAGTCTTCAACAGCAAGCTGAAACTCTTCTTGGCCATTTTGGATTTTTGTAAAAGCTTTTAAAACCTAAACAGAGTCTGTAAACATAAAGGAATGTCCACGGATCTTCATGGCTGCTGTGCCCTGGGAGATGACACCTCATTTCCCGTGTCACCACACAACATGCCTTTGAAAGCCCTGCTTTAGAGCTGCCTTCAGTATCCTGTATAAGCCCAGGAAACCAGTCTTGTTATCTCAGCCACCACACCTGAGCAGAGTGTAGTCCACCTTTTTACTGCAGTATAGAAAACAAGGTAGCATTATACATCCAGCTCCCAGAGGGGATTGCTTCTGAAAGAGGATACTCTTGTATATAAACTCTGCTAGACTAAGAAGAATGCACTGTTTCTTAATTTTGTTTAGTGTTCTAGAGCAGGGGTTGGCTGATTCTGGCTGCAGCCCCACCTGGCCTGCAGCTTGCTTTGGAAATAAAGTTTTGCTGGGCACAGCCACATCTATTCACCTGCACATGATCTATGGCTGCTTTCGTGCCCAACAGCAGAGCTGAGGTGTTGTGACCAAGACTGTATGGACCACAAGACCAAAATATTCACTCTCTGGCCCTCTCCTGGAAAGGGCCGCCAACCCTGTGCTAAGGAATATAATCCCAGCAGACTGAGGCTGATATGTAGAAGGGAAAAAAAAGCTACTCCTTGATTTTATATTATTACTTTTTTTTTCTTATTGAGACACCACCTTTAGAATGTGTTTGAGATATAAGCTCTATTTACAAACTATTTTTAAAAATGCTCTGGAAGATTATTTTTACCATCATTTTTGTCTTGACCACAGTCTGTCTCAAGAAACTTTTAAAAAGATGAGTAAATTAAACCCAAAGTATACAGAAGGAAAGAATAAAGATTAGTATGGAAAAAAAATGGAAACCAGCAAAACAAGAGAGAGTATTAATGAAATCAGAATTTGATTCTTTGAAAAGGCCAACAAAATTGATTATTAGCCAAGAAAGCAAGCACAAAAGCAGACATCACTACCAGCCTTAGAAAAATTATAAGTATTATTAGGGAATACCATGAACAATTGTATGTCAACAAATTAGACAACTCAGCTAAAATGGACAAATTCCTACAGACTTAAATTACTGAAACTAACTAGAGGAGAAAGTCTGGGGAGGGCAAATGGCAGATGGGAGGCAGGACTAACTTGCAGCTCCCTCTCAGATGGACAGAGCAGTGTGTGGAGACTCATATGATAAACTTTTGCTCCAAGAACTACACATACCAGGAAAACGAAGAGAATTCACAGACCCTATGAAGGAGATGGATTGCCGCTGCAGGCTCTGCGGGCAGCCGACGGATGAACTGTGAGTGCTAGCTTTCTCAGCTGGGAGCCTTGTAGCCTGGAGCAAGTTCTCAGGCCTGCTCACTGGCTGCCTGGGAGTAAACTCCCTGCTTTTGTAGGGGACATGGTGGGAATGAGACCGGCCTTTTGGGACCTGGGTAAGGCCAGCAACTGCCGGCTTTCCCCTGCTTCCTGGGTGACCTGTGTGACACAGCAGAGGCAGCCACAATCCCCTTCGGAACATAACTCCATTGGCCTGGGAACCACACCCCTGTCCCCCATAGCAGCCACACCAAGCCCTGCCCAGGAGAGGCTGAGCTCAGACATGCTTAACCCTGCCTCCACCTGATGATCTTTCTCTACCCGCCCTCGCAGCTGAAGACAAAGAACATATAATGTCTTGGGAGCTCTAAGGCCCTGCCCACCGCCTCATCCGCCCCATACCACCACAGCTGATACGCTTTTCATCCGCCCCATACCACCACAGCTGATACGCTTTTGAAAGCACCACCTCCTGGCTGGAGGCCAACCAACACAAAGCAAGCTCACTTAACAAAAATAAAACCAAGGACCCTCACAGAGTCCACTTCATTCCCCTGATGTCTCCACCAGAGCAGGTGCTGGTATCCATGGCTGAGAGACATGAAGACAGATCACATCACAAGACTCTTTGCAGACACTCCCCTGGACCAGCCCAGAGCCCGGTAGCTCCGGTGGGTGGCTAGATCCAGAAGAGAAAAATCACTGCGGTTCAACTCTCAGGAAGCCCCATCCCTAGGGGAAAGGGGAGACCACCACATCAAGGGAGCACCCCGTGGGACAAAGGAATCTGAATAGCAGCCCTTGAGTCCAAGATCTCTCTGACATAGTCTATTCAATTGAGAGGGAACTAGAAAAACAATTCTGGTGATATGACAAAACAAGGTTCTTTAACACCCTCAAAAGATCACACAAGCTCACTAGCAATGAATCCAAATCAAGACAAAATCTCTGAATTGCCAGAAAAAAATTCAGAAGGTCGACTGTTAAATCGAGGAGGAACCAGAGAAAGGTGAAGTCCAACTTAAAGAAATAAAATTATGTAGGATATGAATGGAAAAATCTCCACTGAAACAGCCTAAATAAAAAACAATCACAACTTCTGGAAATAAAGGACACACTTGGAGAATTGCAAAATGCACTGGAAAGTCTCAACAACAGAATCAAACAAGTAGAAGAAAGAACATCAGAGCTTGAAGACAAGGCTTTCAAATTAACCCAGTCTGACAAAGAAAAAAATAATTAAAAACAATGCCTCCAAGAAGTTTGGGATTATGTTAAACGATCAAACCTAAGAATAACTGGTGTTCCTAAAGAAGAAATCTAAAAGTTTGAAAAACATATTTGAGGGAATAATCAAGGAAAACTTCCTGAGCCTTGCTAGAGATCTAGACATCCAAATAAAGAAGCTCAAAGAACGCCTGGGAAATTTATCACAAGAAGATCACTGCCTAGGAACACAGTCATCTGTTTAATGTCAAGATGAAGGAAAGACTCTTAAGAGCTGTAAGGCAAAAGCATTAGGTAACCTATAAAGGAAAACCTATCAGATTAACAGCAGATTTCTCAGCAGAAACCCTACAAGCTGGATGGGACTAGGGTCTTATCTTTACCCTCTTAAACAAAACAATTATCAGCCAAGAATTTTGTATCCAGGAAAACTAAACATCACGTATGAAGGAAAGATAGTCTTTTTCAGACAAACAAATGCTGAATTTGCCACTACCAAGCTAGTACTACAGGAACTGCTAAAAGGAGCTCTAAATCTTGAAACAAATCCTAGAAACACATCAAAACAGAACCTCTTTAAAGCAGGAATCTCACAGGACCTATAAAACAAAACAATGAAAAAAAAAAAGGGATTCAGGCAACAAACAGCACAATGAATAGAACAGTACCTCTAAGGCCAATACTAACATTGAATGTAAATGGCCTAAATGCTCCAGTAAAAGATACATAATGGCAGAATGGCTAAAAATTCACCAAGTATCTGCTGTCTTCAAAAGACCCACCTCACACATAAAGACTCACATAAACTTAAGGTAAAGGAGTGAAAAAAGACATTCCATGCAAATGGACATCAAAAGCAAGCAGGAGTAGCTATTCTTATATGAGACAAAACAAACTTTAAAGCAACAGCAGTTAAAAAAAACAAAGAGAGGGGAGGCTGAGGCAGGATAATTGCTTGAACCTGGGAGGCAGAGGTTACAGTGAGCTGAGATTGCACCACTGCACTCCAGCCTGGGCAACAAGAGTGAAACTCTGTCTCAAAAAAAAAGGACAAAGAGGGACATTATATAATGATAAAAGGACTAAACCAACAGGAAATTGTCACAATTCTAAAATATATATGCGCCTAACACTGGAGCTCCCAAATTTATAAAACAATTACTACTAGACCTAAGAAATGAGACAGACAGCAACGCAATACTAGGGGGAACTTCAATAACCCACTGACAGTACTAGACAGGTCATCAAGACAGAAAGTCAACAAACAATGGACTTAAACTATACCCTAGTACAAATGGACTTAACAGGTATTTACAGACTATTCTATACTCAACAACGCTCTTATTCATCAGCACATGGAACATTTTCCAAGACAGACTATATGATAGGCCATAAAACAAGTCTCAACAAATTTAAGAAAATCAAAATTATAGCAAGTACTCTCAGACCACAGTGGAATAAAATTGGAAATCATCTCAAAAAGGAACCCTCAAAACCATGCAAATACATGGAAATTAAATAACCTGCTTCTGAATGATCACTGGGTCAACAATGAAATCAAGATAGAAATTTAAAAATTATCTAAACTGAACAATAATAGTGACGCAACCTATCAAAACCTCTGGGATACAGAAAAGGCGGTGCTAAGAGGAAATCCTGTTCATAGCATTAAATGCCTACATCAAAAAGTCTGAAAGAGCACAAACAGAAAAGCTAAGGTCAGACCTTAAGGAGCTAGAAAACAAGAACAAACCCAAACACAGTAGAAGAAAAGAAATAACCAAGATCAGAGCAGAACTAAATCAAATTGAAACAAACAAAAAAATACAAAAGATAAATGAAATAAAAAGCTGGTTTTTGAAAACGTAAATAAAATTGATAGACCAATTGCAAAACTAAGCAAAATAAGAAAAGAGAAGATCCAAATAAGCTCAATTAGAAATGAAACAGGAGATATTACAACTGATACCACAGAAATACAAAAGATCATTCAAGGCTATTATGAACAACTTTATGCGCATAAACTAGAAAACCTAGAGGAGATGGATAAATTCCTGGAAATCTACAACCTTCCTAGATTAAATCAGGAGAAACAGAAACTCTGAACAGACTAATAACAAGCAGTGAGACTGAAATAGTAATAAAAAAATTGTCAACACAAAAAAAGGCCAGCCCCAGGCAGATTCACAGCTGAATTCTTTCAGACATTCAAAAAAGAATTGGTACCAATCCTATCGACACTATTCCAAAAGACAGAAAAAGAGGGAATCCTCCCTAAATCATTCTATGAAGCCAGTATCACCCTAATACCAAAAGCAGGAAAGGACATAACAAAAAAAACTAGACACCAATATCCCTGATGAACATAGATGCAAAAATCCTTAACAAAATACAAGCTAAGTGAATCCAACATGAATCTTTATTAAAAAGATAATCCACCATGATCAAGTGGGTTTCATACCAGAATGCAGGGATGGTTTAACATCCACAAGCCAATAAATGTGATACACCACATAAACAGAATTAAAAACAAAAATCACATGATCATCTCAATGGAAAGAGAAAAAGTGTTTGATAAAATGCAGCATCCTTTTATGATTAAAACTCTCAGCAAAATCAGCATAGAAGGGACATACTTGAGGTAATAAAAGCCACCTATGACAAACCCACAGCCAACATTATACTGAAGGGAGAAAAGCTGAAGGCATTCCCCCCGAGAACTGGAACAAGACAAGGATGCCCACTTTCACCACTTCCATTCAACATAGTACTGGAAGGTCTAGCCAGAGCAATCAGACAAGAGAAAGATATAAAGGGCATCCAAATTGGTAAAGAGGAAATCAACCTGTTGCTGTTTGCTTTTGATGAAGGTATACTTAGAAAACCCTAAAGACTCCTCCAAAAAGCTCCTAGAACTGGTAAATGAATTCAGCAAAGTTTCCGGATACAAAATTAATGTACGCAAATCAGTAGCCCTACTGTACATCAACAGTGAGCAGGCTGAGAATCAAATCAGTAACTCAACCTCTTTTACAATAGCTGCAAAAAAAAAAAAAAAAAAAACCCACTGAACCAAGGAGGTGAAAGACCTCTAAAAGGAAAACTACAAAAACACTGCTGAAAGAAATCACAGATGGCACAAACAACTGGAAACAAATTCCCGGCTCATGGATATGTAGAATCAATATTGTGAAAATGACCACACTGCCAAAAGCAATCTACAAATTGAATGCAATTCAAATCAAAATACCACCATAATTCTTCACAGAACTAGAAAAAAATAATTCTAAAATTCATATGAAACCCAAAAAAGAGTCTGTATAGCCAAAGCAAGACTAAGCAAAAAGAACAAATCTGGAGGCACTATATTACCCGACTTTAAACTATAAGGCCATAGTCACCAAAACATTATGGTACTGGTATAAAAACAGGCATACAGACCAATGGAACAGAATAGAGAACCCAGAAATAAAGCCAAACACTTAGTTACAGTCAACTGATCTTTGACAAAGCAAACAAAAACATAAAATGGGGAAAGGATACCCTATTCAATAAATAGTGCTGGGATAACTGGCAAGCCACATGTAGAAGAATGAGACTGAATCCTCATCTCTCACCTTATACAAAAATCAACTCAAGGTGGATCAGAGATTTAAATCTAAGACCTGAAACCATAAAAATTCTAGACAGTAACATTGGAAAAACGCTTTTAGACATTGGCTTAGGCAAATACTTTATGACTAAGGACACAAAAGCAAATACAACAAAAACAAAGGTAAACAGATGGGACTTAATTAAACTAAAAAGCTTCTGCACGGCAAAAGAAATAATCAGCAGAGTAAACAGAAAACTCACAGAGTGGGAAAAAATCTTTGCGATCTATACATCCAACAAAGGACTAATATCCAGAATCTACAAGGAACTCAAACAAATCAGCAAGAAAAAAAAAAAAAAAAAACAATCCCATCAAAAAGTGGGCTAAGGACATGAATAGACAATTCTCAAAAGAAGATATACAAATGCCAACAAACCTAAAAAAAATGCTCAACATCACTAATGATCAGAGAAATGCAAGTCAAAATCACAATGAAATACCACCTTACTGCTGCAAGAATGGCAATAAAAAATTAAAAAATACAGATGTTGGTGTGGAGGCAGTGAAAAGGTAACATCTTTACACTATTGGTGGGAATGTAAACTAGAACAACCACTATGGTAAACAGTATGGAGATTTCTTAAAGAACTAAAAGTAGATCTACCATTTGATCCAGCAGTCCCACTCCTGGGTATCTACCCAGAGGAAAAACAGTCATTATATGAAAAAGGTACTTGCACACGCATGCTTATAGCAGCACAATTTGCAAATGCAAAAATATGGAACCAGCCCAAATGCCCATTAGTCAATGAGTGGATAAAGAATATCTAGTGTGTACGTATGTATGCATGTATGTGTGTGTGTGTATATATAGATATATATATACACTCTCTCTATATATACACATATATATGTATATATATGTGTATATATATGTATGTATGTATGTGTATATATATGTATAGAGAGAGAGAGAGAAAAAGGCAATGAACAATCTGGAAATGAAATTATTATTTTCACCCATAGTAGCAATAAAAAGAATACTCAGTAATACGTATGGAATACTACTTAGTCATAAAAAGGAATGAAATAATGGCATTTGCAGCAACCTGGATGGAACTGGAGACCATTATTCTAAGTGAAGTAACTCAGGAATGGAAAACCAAACATCGTGTGTTCTCACTCTTAAGTGGGAGCTAAGCTGTGAGGACGCAAAGGCCTAAGAATGATACAATGGACTTTGGAGACTCAGGGGAAAGGGTGGGAAGGCGGTGAGGGATAAAACAGTGCACACTGGGTACAGTGTACACTGCTTGGTGATGGCTGTACCAAAATCTCAGAAATCACCACTAAAGAACTTATTCATGTAGCCAAACACTACCTGTTCCCCAAAAACCTTTAAAAAAAAAAATGACGACACATACACACACACACATGGAAATAAAGTCCAAACAGACCTGCAAGAAGCAAAAAGACTGGATTAGTAACTTAAAATATTCCCAAAAAGAGAACTCACTCATGCCTAGCTAGTTTCACTACTGAATTCTATCAAACATGTAAAGGAATTTGGTTACACACACACACACACACACACACACACCAATCCTTCACAATCTCTGAGAAAACAGAGAAGAGGGAAATTTCCAAACTCACTCTGTGAGGCCAGCATTACCCTGATACCAATGCCAGAAAACAACATCACAAGAAATAAAAACTACAAGAGCAATATCCTTCATATAATATGGAAGCAAAGGCCCTCAACAAAATACTGCAAATGAATGCAGCAACACATAAAAAGGAATACACCCAATGATCAACTAGGGCTTATCTCAGGAGTACAAGATTGATTTAACACCCCCAAATCAATTAATGTAATATACCATATTACAACACAGTAAAGTAGAAAACCTTACAATCATCTCAATAAAGAGCATCTGACAAAACACCATTCATGACAAAAATGCTCTCAACAAACCAGAAATAGAAGCGAACTTCCTCCAATGGAAAAAGGGCATTAATGAAAAACGTGTAATACCATACTTAATGGTGAAAGAATGAGTAATTTCCAGCTAAGATAAAAATGTCAAAAATATGACAAGGACGTCCATTCTCATCACCACTATTCAACACTGTACTGGAAGGTCTAGCCAGTGCAATTAAGCAAGAAAAAGAAATGAAAGGTATCTAGAGTCTAGAATGTAAAGGAAGAAGTAAAACTTTTTATTCATGGAAAGCATTATTTGTAGAAAATCCTATGGAGCCTACAAAAACAACTAATAGAACTATAAAATGAATTCAGCGTAGGATAAGAGATAAACATATAAAAATCAATTGTGTGTGTGTGTATATATATCCACACTCTATATATATGTGTGTGTATATATATCCACACTCTATATATATATGTGTGTGTGTGTACTCTGTGTGTATGTGTGTGGAGAGCACACACATACACACACACACACACACATATGTATATATCAGGGGGGGCAATGAACAATCTGGAAATGAATTTATTATTTTCACCCATAGTAGCAATAAAAATAATACTTAGGAATAAACTTAAGTCCAAGAGGTATACGACAAAAATCACAAAGCAGTGCTGAAGAAATACCTACATAAATGGAGATATATCCTGTGTTAACAGACTGAAAGACTTCAGATTAAGAAAACAATACTCCCCAAGTTGTTCTACAGATTCTTTGCAATCCAATCCAAATCACAGGTGGTTTTGTTTTGCTTTTATGTAGAAATTGACAAAATGATCCTAAAATTCATATGGAAATGCAAATTACCCCAAATAGCCAAAATGAACCTGAAAAAGAAGAACAAAATTGGAGGACGCACACTTCCCATTTTTAAAACTAAATACAAAGCTATAGTAACCAATACAGGATGGTATAAGACAGTATGGCGTAAGATAAACATAGAGATTAATGGAATATAATTGGAAGTCCAGAAATAAACCTTTTCATTTATGGTCAACTGATTTTCAACAAGGAATAGCCTTTTCAACAAATGATATTGGACCAAATATCCACATGCAGAAGAATGAATGTGGACCCTTATGTGATATCATACACAAAAATCAAAAATAGATGACAGGCCTAATGTAAGTGCTAAAACTCCAAAACTCTTAGAAAAAAACATAGATGTAAATCTTTGTGACCTTGGGTCAGGCAATGATTTCTTAGATATGATATCGAGAGCACAAGCAACAAGGACTAAGTTGATAAACTGGACTTCAAAAAAAATTTTTAAATAGTACTTTTTCAAAAGACATTGTTAAAACAAAATGAAAAGACAAGCCACAGACTGGGGAAAAAAAAACATTTGCAAATCATATGTCCTGTAAGGACCTATATCCAGAACACATAAAAAAACTATTACAAACCAATAATAAGATGATGAATAACCCAATTTTAAAATGATTTGAATAGATGTTT
The DNA here is from genome assembly GCF_000001405.40 of Homo sapiens. Taxonomy (NCBI): domain Eukaryota; kingdom Metazoa; phylum Chordata; class Mammalia; order Primates; family Hominidae; genus Homo; species Homo sapiens. The sequence goes on along the minus strand of NC_000006.12, from coordinate 161,118,986 downwards.
CACCAAAGAAGATATCCAACAAGCACACGAAAAGATGTTCACTATCATTAGGGAAATGCAAATCAAAACAGGATACCTCTTCACGTTAACTAGAATGGACATTATCAAAAAAAAGCACAATTGCAAGTATTGGAGAGGGTATGGAGAAGTTGGAACCCTCATACATTGCTAGTCGGAGGGTATAAGATGGTGCACCACTTTGGAAAACAGTTTGGAAGTTTAGGGAAATGCAAATCAAAACAGGATACTACTTTACATTAACTAGAATGGACATTATAAAAAAAAAAAAGCACAATTGCAAGTATTGGAGAGGGGATGGAGAAGCTGGAACCCTCACACATTGCTAGTGGGGGTATAAGATGGTGTACCACTTTGGAAAACAGTTTGGAAGTTTCTGAAAATGTTGAACATAGATATACCACATGACCCAGCAAATCTACTCCCAAGAAAAATGAAAACATTTTTGTACAAAGACTTCTATGGGAATATTCAAAGCAGCATTATTTATAATAACCAAAAAGTGGGCACAACCCAATCAACTAGCAAATGGATAAATAAATGTGTGGCAGTCTAACAGTCTCAGTAATAAAAAGGAATGGACGTACTGAAACCCGCTACAACATGGATCAATCTCAGAAATATGCGAAGTGAAAGAAGATACAAAATACCACATATTATAAAACTCTATGTATATGAAATGTCCAGAATAGGAAAATCTATAGAAATAGGAAATCGTTTAGTGGTTACCTAAGGCTAGGGGTGAGAATGGGGAGTGACCGCAAATGGACATGAGATTTCTTTTGGGGGTTATGGGAATGTTCTACAATTGGACTGTGGTGATGATTGCACAACTATGTAACTATACTAAAAGTTACTGAATTGTACCCTTCAAATATTATGCAAAATATAACTCAAAAAGCTGTATTTTAAGAAGTCTTAAAATTCTAAGTGGTTGTATAAATCCTTTTGTGATGCCAATATTCTCTGGACATTAACTTCTTGGCTGAAGGGATCTACTCTTCTGAAGGAAGATTAATACAAAACCTGCTTGAGAAATTACTTGCCCAGGGTCAATGGCTATGTGTAAGGAGTGAGAGTCAGTGATCTTCCAAAAAGATTTCAGGAAGCTCTATGGTCAATCTTTTTAAAAAATTTAATAGCAAAAACAAAAACAAAAAAAACACCAATGATGTATAATTTGGGCTGTTTTGGAAAGCTAAATGCTGAAATGTTTACTTCTGAAAAAGATGCTTTCTCATCAGATCATTCAGCAGTAATTACACTGACCTAGCACCTAAACATCTTGGTTTAAAAATAAAGTGAACTCCCAACATGTGATAACAAGGCTTAAACTTGTATCTGTTATAAACTTGCTGGTTAATAGAAACTACTTAAAAGGAACCACCTTACGTCATTAGTGTTGCTTCATTTATTTCCTTTGCTTTTCAGCGAGGCGATCCTAAAGAGACGCCGAACCCAGTGACCATCTTTAGCACACGTGATTGTGCTCCTCCTTTTGAGGAACAGATGAGTGAAAATGACAGACTTCTGTATCATACTGCGTTGGCTCATAAGTGTTAACCATTAAAAGACAATATAACTGAGCTTTCCTAAAATAAACCATTTATTGAAAAAAGAACCTTTTTCTTAAATTTCAGTAATCAGCCTTTTGCATTACAAACCTGCAGCTTGCCAACAACAACAAAAAAGGTAAAGGTTTCACAGTCAGTGCACTCAACAAACAGGAGATTAAAAACAAGGTATGGGACGCCTGATAACACTACAACTTCTTTTGAACCTAGAAAGGTCAAAACACTACGCTGATGTCACGGTTCTCAGTCGCGCGAGACACGGAGGAGACAGAGGCGATGGTCCGTGTACAGTAGTAATGGCACTTAACATGCAGCTTCTTTAACCTCGTGGCCACCAGCCCTCCAGAGGGCCTTTTGCCACATCAGACAAACAGGAGCAGCAGGAGAAGTGACGCTTGTCACCTGTGCAGTCTTCAGTCTTGGAAGGTTAAAAAGGCTTATACTGCTTCTCAGCACAGTCTTTATGTAAATATTACATACAGTAGTGATTAAGAGAATTTTCCAAGTCCATATTCTACTAGGCTTCATTCTTCATCTGTGCAAACCTGTGAGGAAGCAGGAGAGAGCTGAGCTCTTGCAGAGCCAGGTGTGTGCTTGTGCATACGCGCAGTATGAGTCTTACGGGGAAGGCCCCATCCACTCATCCTGATGCTCCCAGCACTGTACTGGGCACAGAGGGCAAGGCTTAAGAAATGTAATGAACAATGGCAGAGGTAAGTTACTGCTCTAAAGTTAAGCCTGGGAACTGACTAATGAAAGCATTTTCTAAAACGCCTATATGCACTCTCAGGTCAATATAAATTGTTATGCACTTCATAACTAAGACATAAATTGTTATTTAATTACAAATCCCTAATGTCTCCATAGCTGATCCTGCTGCTTGCCCCTTACTCCCACTTACCAATAAGAGCATCACCCCACTCTTCTGCCCCTTCCTTTCCTTTCCCAGGGACTCTCTCCTGCAGGGCCCTTGCAAGGCTCTTTTCTCCAGGGCTCTGTTCTCATCCCCTTGTCCTCTGTGGACCCTCCCAGCAATACTTCTGTCTCCCACACCTGTGCCCTACCCAAAATCCCTCTTGAGTGCCAGCCCCAGGTATCCAAATGCCCATGTGAAATCTCCAAGCAGATGCTCCAAATGTACCCCAAGCTTCATCCACCAAAGAGGACCCACCACCTCCCGACCCACCCCTCACCCAGCTGCTTCTTTCCCTACCCTGGCAAATAGAGTCTGTGACCTGATGACACAAACCAGAAACCTGGGAGCCACTCTAGACTCCTCCCCTCACTCACCTTTCACATCCAATCAGGGGTCAGCCACGGCACTCTAACTCTTAAATGCCGCTGTTCACTCACCCGGAACGCCCTCTCCCAACCCCTTGGCTGTATCAGAACCTTCTCAATTCCTTTGCCTCTAGAGTGATCTTTCTAAAACTCTATGTCATCATTTATGTTTATAATAAAATGGAAACTCCTTCATGTTGCTCCTGGTTACTGTTCTAGCCTTATCTTCCTGCCCTTGTCCACATCCTGTGTTCACCAGGATCTACCTACACAGGGCTCTGTGACCATCCCACTCTCCCGGAAGGGTGAGCGTTTCCAAGTTTCTTTACTTTGTCTTCCATGCCCCCTCCCCCACTTCTGACCTGGCTGTGGCTCTTAAACAACTAAGGTACCTCATTCTAGAGAAAAAAGAACTGAGATTGGCTGACTTAATTAAATTCCTCTTCTGAGTAACCTTATATACCATTATCACAGCTCTCAGTATAATGATTAGTCATTACCGTCTTGACCCTCCAAGTAGACTATACACTCTCAAGAGTGGAAACTCTTTCATCCAGTCCCATCTAAAAGTCCATTTTACTGTCTCTGGTGTATCTTAAATGCACCATCAAAACAGATCAAGTGGAAGAACCTCAATGAACATTTTCCAAATGAAAAAACACATACAAAAATCCCTGGCATAATAATACATTTAGTTCCTTTCCACTTCAGATATAGCTACTTTAAAGTTTCAAAATTTCATTAACGTCTTGATGCAAAACAGAACTTAAACACTTAAACATGAAAAAGACTATCCAGTAATCTGCCAAACCTTGACAAACGAATGGTCGAGGAGCTGGCTGGCGGTCCATCTCATCTTTGGGTCACTCTCAAGGCAGTGAGAAAGGAAGTCCTTTCCTTCAGGGCTTAATCTTTCAGGGATTGGTGGCTTATGTCCCATCCCCACTTTATACATAATTTGAAAGTTGTGCTCATACTCATGCCAAGGCCTCTAAAAAAGATGTTTTTAAAAAATCAGATTTTAATATTACACAGCCACAAACAACGCAAATGTTCAGTCTGTTTTTAAGCATCTCATCATTAATATATATCAGGGGACAGCAAATTTTTACTGAAAGGGCCAAACAATATTTTAGGTTGACAGGCCATATGATCTCTATCACAACTATTCACTAATCTCATGGCAGCATGGTAGCAGCTATGGACAACACATAAATGAATATGACTGTTCCAACAAAACTTTATTTATAAAACAGGTGGCCAGCATAGTTTGCCTACTCCATTTGGGGTGCACTATTTAGTCCAACAGTATCTAGAAGCCATCATCATGCAACTAAAAAATATATAAAATGACATAAAAAAGTCTATAAAACCCAATTCTCTTATAGGGATGGTTAATATGCTACCTTATTGAAAAATAAAAATTGCATTAGTGCAAAGCTTATTTCATTATGATCCTATGAAAAATGAGATTCACAGGGGAAGGAACTAAGTGTGTATGGCATTCTAATTTCTAAACTATTGTTTCGTCATTGCCAATATGTATTCTTCAATATGAGAACCTGTTCTTTTATGTGTGGCTTTACTGGAATAACACAGATATCACAACTGCCTTTCTATTTTAATGCTAATAGAAATAATGCTAGCTAATATTTACTGAGCACTTATATGTGATCTGTTTCAGCAGCTGCAAGGCATAGCTACATTATAATTAACTGATTTCCTACTAGTAACTTAACACTAACTTTTAACTTAGAAATGAAGGTTTCTAACTTTTTTGCTATAATACTGTATGTGTACGGTAAGCTACCATGTGCAGTTCATGCGTGTCTTTTTACATTTGTATAACTGCTCATTAATATTATCATCATAAGATACATTTTCAGAAGCAGAAAACTTCTTGGTTTAAGTGCTATGCACATTTAAAATTTTGATAGAGATTGGAAATGTCTCCGGAGCAGCCCTACCACATGGAATTTCTGTCCAAAACATGTGTGTTTCTTTATATACTCTCTAAAAGATAGTATTCTCAATCTTTAAAAATGTCACTCAGCACTTCGGGAGGCTGAGGCAGGCGGATCATGAGGTCAGGAGTTCGAGACCAGCCTGGCCAACACAGTGAAACCCTGTCTCTACCAAAGTACAAAACTTAGCCAGGCATGGTGGCAGGTGCCTGTAATCCCAGCTACTTGGGAGGCTGAGGCAGAAGAATTGCTTGAACCCGGGAGGCGGAGGTTGCAGTGAGCCGAGATCATGCCACTTGCACTCCTGCCTGGCGACAGAGCGAGACTCCATCTCAAAAAAAAAAAAAAAAAAAAAAAAAGTCACTCATATGCTAAGTAAAAAAAAAAATGATTTCAATTTAAATATATAATTCTGGTTAATGAGGCTGTCATCTTTTCATGTTTTCTTTTGTTAACAGACAATCTTTTTAGAGCAGTTTTGGGTTTATAGAAAAATTAACTGGAAGGTACAGAGACTTCCCATATCCCCCTCCCTGTCCCACAGTTTCCTCTACTATGTGTAGTTCGCGTTAGTGTGCTCCATTTTTTAGAACTGATGAACCAATGTCAATGCACTACTGTTAACTGAAGTCCATAGTTTACATCAGGGTTCACTCTGTTGCACATTCTATGGGTTTGGACATACACATACTAACATGTATCTATCATCAGTGTATCCTACAGAGTAGGTTTACTCCCCTAAAAATTCTGTGTACTCCACTTACTCGTCTCTCTGTTCCCCCACGTCCCTGGCAACCACTCATCTTTCTACTGTCCCTGTGGTTTTGCCTCTTCCCCAATGTCGTTAAATGGAATCGCTCAGTGTGCAGGCTTTTTAGACTGGCATCTTTCATCACTTAGCCACATGCATTGAAGGTTCCTCCATGTCTTTCTGTGGCTCGACAGGGTGTTTCTTTTTATCTAAAGCTCAGTATACTCCTTTGTATGAATAATCTACTGAAGAACATGTTGGTTGCTTCCAAGTTTTGGTAATTATGAATAAAGCTGCTGTAAACATTCATGTGCGGGTTTTTGTGTGGACATGTTTCCAACTTAATGTTGCTTTTTGTAACTGCTTGCTTCCCTGTGTTTTAATTAGAGGTTTATGCTTCTTAAATTCACTCATAAGAGTTCTCTGTGGCAGATATCTTACAAATATTTGTTTCCTGGTTTGTCATTTGTCTTAATCTTTTGATGGATCAGATTTTTGTATCTAATATCGTTCGCTATTTAGTGTCCACAGTGTTTGTAATAAATAATCAATCCATAACTACTGTTCTGTTAATGCACAGTGCCCTTCTGAAGTTGCTCCGCCAGGTGTGGGGGCTCCGCTTACCTTGCCAGTCACCATCTCTATGACAACACACCCCAGACTCCAGATGTCGGCCGCACGCCCATGGCCCTCTCCTTTGGCACGAGTGATGACTTCAGGTGCCATGTATGCTTTAAAAGTCACAGATATGTTGAGAGTAATGGGTTATAAACACATCAACATGTATTAATAGAGCCAAGCAATAAATTAATATTGTACAATATTATCTTCCTGCATTAGGTAATGGGAAATATCAAAAATTTACAGACAGTTCAAGTCAACTTGTTGAACAAACTTTTTAGGTGACAAATTCTCTTTTAAAAGACTATTTTTGAATGTACACATTTTCAAATTAATTGTATTCACAATGAAAATAGAAAATTTAACCTGCAAAGGAGGAGGCAAAATTTCATGGCACTAAGTGATCAAAACGAATCATTACCATTTAATCATAGTGTTGTTTAGACAAGGTAGTGGACAGGCAGGCAGCCAACGAGACTGGTGTATGCTGAGTGATTCGGGGTAAGCCACATTACAGAGCACAAACAATGTCTACATTTTTTAAGTTTTAAGAAAAACAATGCAAACAACAAAAGAGTTGTTCTGGTGAGAAAAAGAGGCTTTCCTCTCTCCTGTAACCTAAAAGGAGTCATTTAATTCACCAATGTGACAGCTGCTCTTGCGTGGGAGCCCAAGTGTGTGAGGAAGTGGTCCTTCTCACGACTGAAAACCTTTACCTGCTCTCCCATCTCTACTGACAAACAAAGGTGAAGGGAACATGCAGGCCCCAAGCAGGCTGCATGAAGTCAGAGTGCAAAGAACAACCAGGCTGGTCCCTACCTGCTGTCCCCAGGGTGCTGTTCACTTCACCAGGCATGGTCTGGGCATTGTTTTTGAGCTTTACTGAACATCCAAAATCTCCCAGTTTGATTAATCCAGATGAGGTAAGGAAGATATTGGCACCTAAAAAGAAAAGAAGTAGTTGTTACGCAGCCTCTGAAACACAATGTGGGCAAGGTTACATGGTAATCTAAACGACCAGGAACTTCATTCACAAGCTAAACAATCGAAAGGCTTATGAAACTTGACTTACAAAGTGTAATCATAGGAAGATTTGTAAGCCTTATTCACAAATTTTAATAAAAAGCAACAAAATTTTAACACCAGTGCAGGTAGCCTTGACCAATAAATTCTGAACTGAAATACATGCATACATTCTAACATTAATAACCCACAGAGATACTTAAAAAGAAACTGCATACAAAACACAAGTGCTTGTTGTGGTGGCAGTCTGGAGAATGAGAGATGTGTACAATCAGCAGCGTCTGAAACAGGAAGCGACATGTAGATGAGAGCTGCACACGCACTGCAGTTCTTCAGAGTCCCAGCTGAGGCCCTTGCATTTATATGACGTGACTGAAAACTGTTCTGCAATTTTCAAATATTCCTACAAGCAACATATATGCTTAACTTGTAGTCTAGTTAGAATTTGGGAATACTGTTCATCTCTCAGGACAGCTTGGCCTTTTGCTCTAGGCTGCAAGATATTATTGCTCCAACTAAGTCACACATCTCTGGCATTGTGTTCTATGGTACCTCCTTCGAAAAGCAACAACACAGAGCCAATGGAGTTAGACAAGCAGCCATCTGATGAGCTGAGGTCAACAGCGAATCCTCATAACTCAGTGCTCCTAGAGTTGATGCTCCCCACAATTGACTACGAGGGGCAGCTTGATCTTCTCGAGCGACTGTACATCTGTACCTTCTTAGCCATGCTGAACTAGAAAGCATTGGATAAGACACCAGTGAGCTGACCTGCTTCAGATTCTAAGGGAGTCTCTTCCTGCCACGGAACAAACGTGCAAACACCATTTTGTGACAGTGGACAGAGACTGAGGATGGTGTCTGTGGCAGAACGACTAGAAATAGGCAGTGCTACGGCCTGGTACAGAGCCAGTTAAGCCAACATCAGGATGACCCCAGACACCAAAGCAAGGTAGCGGACAGGCAGGCAGCCAATGAGACCGGTGTATGCTGGGTGATTCAGGGTGAGCCACATTACAGAGCACGAACAATGCTTACACCCAGACCAAAGCAGACTGGTGTAATCCAAAATAACCTCCCACACTGGGTCTTGTCCCTGGTCAGAAGTCAGGTCGGTTCCTAAGTTAATGTGTTTAGGTTAGCCTCAGACTACAGGACAGAATGAAACTCTTCAGCCTAGGGCCAAATAGGCACAAAAATACTTCCCCATTTTAATTATCCTCAAGACTTGCAAATACAAAGGTCAGGGGCATGGCGTGGTTAAGGCAAATGCCACGGTGACCGTTCTGAGACAGAAGCCCAGCTATTCCCCTCGTGCTATGAGAAGAGCACTTTTAATCCATCAGCATGGCCAAAATAACCTTCAGCAGAACTCAATTTCAAGGTTTGTGTAAACAAACCCCATTCTTGTCTCAAAAACGTAGCCTCAAATTTATATGTGCACTTCTGATCTGATTTACTGTCGGTTTACATATTCATGATTTTCATATATAAATAGACAAGAATCCTGACACGAGAGAAAAAAAAGGTTGCTTTGATCACGAATGTCTGGTAAGTACACGGGCTATGCCAAATCAGCTTATAAAAATAGCAAACTTCATTTTGGGAAAACAGATTTCTCTAAAAGCAGTGTTGAACAGAAAGAGCGGACTCCTGGGTAGAGAGACATGAGTTCTACCTTGTTTCTGAATACAGGATCCTTATAGAGGCGTATTTCAATGAAAGGTATTTCCATCTAGAGAAATCATATGTGGGAATGGGATGAGCGTCTTCAGAGCACCTCCCACGGGCTGGGTACCAGTGGCTCTGGCCCACAGCAGCCAGGCGGGTGTGGGATTACCTTTAATGTCACGGTGGACTATGCCATGCTCATGGAGGACGTTGATCGCAATGGTGATCTGCTTTGAATACAGCCTAATCACATGTTCCTGAAGTCCCAGCCTTGACACCTCTTCTAAAGTCCCCTCATCGCAGTACTCCATGAAGATGTACATTTCTTCCTGTGGGAGGAATAAAGGGCAGCTCTGTGTTTACGGTTTTCCTTAGATGTACGCTAGTGAAAAATCTGGAAAACTTCCTAGGCCACACCCCAAAGGAATGTTCTTTCTAACGGTATACTACACTTGCCATCCTGAGCACTGAATGTGTCTCACAACAGTCGTTTCTAAGTCCTCTATAGAGGTGTCTGCCTGCCTCCTCTGTCTGGAATTATACAGCTCTTGGGGATAAGAACATCTCCAAATCACAGGGGATCAATTTCTATTATCCTCTGAAATTAAGTCTGCTATATAATCTCAGACAGGGACCAACAGGGCTGTCCCTACAAATACATTATTAAGTACTGAAACACATCCTTTTTAAACATAATTTGTAAAAACATTAAAAATGATCCATTTCCAACTTCCCCTGGAAGCTCATGCTCTACACCACGATGCTCCAAGTTATCCTCTTTCCCTCGACGTGTTTATTTCTAAACACAAGGAGGAAACTCAATTTGAGGTTTGAATTTTCTCTCATTTCACAATGGCTCCCTAAATACATACAAGAAAAAAACCAGTATTACTTAACAGTGTACTCAACAGTGGTTCAGCAAAAAAACGGAAAAAAAGTCACAAGAAGTGGTGTAAGGGGCGTTTTAGAAGAATCTTCTGAATGGCAGGATGGGTTTCAGTGCTTTATGATGTCGGGTTAATGACTACAGTCTACAACTTACATTTTAGGAGGAACTCCTCTAGTTTCAGAGAGAAGGCAGAAATGATGTAACTCATGGAGATTTCCTGAGAATTAGGCAAAGTTACTGTGCTCTGAAATGAGAAGACCTGTGATGTAGAACAGGACTCCATTCTGTGCCCTCACTGATTCCTCACACAAAGAGTGGCATTAGGGTCGGCTTACTCTATGGAGCTCCACACCAAAATACCGAACCAGATTGGGGTGTTTGATGCCTTCGAATATTTTCAATTCGTCTGCAGTTTCCTTGATAGTCTTATGGTCATTAGGTTGAAATCGAATCTGTAAAGTGAGGTGACAAAAATGTTAACTGGCTTGATTTAATCACTCTACATTATACACATACACTGAAACATCATTTTGCACCCCATAAATATATGTAATCATGATTTGTCAATTAAAAACAACAAAAAATTAAGTAAAAAGGAAGTTTTTAGCCAAGCTAGAGTGAAGTCATAGAAGTGCGGGTAGGTCCCGGGCACAGAGGAGGAAGAGGCCCTGCTCCGAGAGGGAGTGAGGAGCGCCATGTGGAGGAGGACGCGGCTCCACGGCAAGTGCAAGACGCTGGAGCCTCCCCTCTCCACTCCTCTCCTCCTTCCACGTCAAACCGGATGTCTCCACAGACAGCAGTGAGTCCTGTTTCTACTTCAGGTTCCCTGGCCCTTTCCCCATCCTACCTCCAGCGGTTTCAATGCCACTTGTTTCTGAAGCTTATCATAAATGTTATCTTCTCCCCCAATGTGTCCCCATAAGACACTACTGTTAATCCTCTCCTCTAAGCCTTCATCAGACTCAGCTCTGCCACCCTCATAGGCCCTTCTCACACCTGTGCTGTTAGAACTGTCTGTGACTTATTATCCTCTCTGGAATCGTAAGCCCCTTCACTGTCTGTGTGTGTTATCTCAGTGCATCTGCCTGGTTGGTCCTGACTGTCGCAGTGCTGGTGCTGAAGACAGCTCTACGCACAGAGAACTGAATCACGACCAGCGTCTATACGGAATTTCTATCACCCAGAGCCGCCAGGCCCAAAGGCCCCACGGAGCCAGGTGACTCACCTCTTTCATGGCCATCAGCTCCCCGGTGTCGACGCTGATGCAGGTGTACACCTTCCCATACTGGCCTTCTCCTGTGAACAATGCAAACAAGCTGCACTTCCAGCCACTGCAGGGGGCTGTCTTACATTCCTTAAACTTGTAATAATACTGTCCAATTATTTTGGACGTATATTTATATATCTATAATTATGTTTACTGCAGTTTACTATTGCAAGATCCAAAATTTTTCTAAATGTTCCCTGATAACTAAAGTTTTAGGCAATCTCTTTAATATGTCTTACCTACAAGTATCTTTAAATAGAGCAGAACCGACTTTGGTAAATTCCAGGAGAAGCATGAAAATGACCAATAAAAGCAGCCTTGGTGCACACCTCTGAGCCCTCACACCCCTCAAGGAGATCTTGGCTGGGGCTGGGAGCAGCAGAAAACAGCCAGGACTAAGCCTGACCATTGTCTTCCTCACTGGCACATGTCCAGGAGTGTGTGGGAGCAAACATTCCCCTAACATACCTTCTGGGACATTAAAGCAAGAGGATATGTGCCTGGACAAGACTGATAACAATAATTAATCCAATTTATAAAGTACTTGATTGTTTTCAGTGGTTTTTGCCCTCCTTGATAGCTCCAAGGAAACATCAGGTTTCCTCAGGCTGACAAAGTCCCATATTATTCATACAACTGTGTTCGCCCCCTTCAGACCTAGATGTGTGACAGATAAATATATTTAAGTGGGGAAAGGATCTGAAACACAAGACTTCTTCCCTCACATAATTTACGACTATTTTACATGAAGCAATTCCACCTGGAAATTAATTAATGAGGCAATGTTTTAGAAAAGAAGACTGTCTTGCCCTCATTTGTATCCAGTCTCTCTTCAAATCACGTTCTGCGTGTGTGTGTGTGTGTGTGTGTGTGTGTGCGCGCGCGTGTGTAGAGAGAGAGAGAGAAACTAGAACAAATGGGTCAAATTTTGGTACCTCTCCACTGGCAAATTCCAGGGTTATTAAGCAAAAGAATCCAATGCAATGAATCATTTAGAAATCTCTTTCTCATTCTAAAATCTCATTTTGTATTGCTCTTAGAATACATTTTACAAATTAAACAACCAAAAAAAATCCAGACCACTTTGCAAAAAGATAACAATGCATACTTGCTATGTCTACAAGAAAAAAGGGCCAACTCTATAGGATTCAACCTAAAGAAGTATAACTATTGCTACTTCTAACAGGGACTATCTTGACATCATGCTCCTTAATTTCCTTACCAATTTTGTTTCCTCTTTGCCATTTGAAGGTCACCTTCCTCAAGCCAACGTGCATAACATTATCATAGGACTTAGGCGTATCACAAACTTGACCAATGATATTCTTTCTCCTCATTTCTCGGTACCTCTTTTCTTCAAACAATCGGACTGACTTCTGGATAGCTTCTATGGGTCCTAGTTTAGAAGCAGTATCTGCAGAGAGAACCAAAACCTCATTAGTCCCAATCACTGTTATCAAGTCAGTTTCCAAAAGACAAACCAATAAAAATAGAGCAATATATATTAGCACTCCATTACAGCAAAGCTTATTATCTATTCAGATAAACAGCAGGTGAATTAAAGTTCTTCAAACGCTACTCATTCCAGCATATGCCACCCCTTATACAGTACACACATAAAATATAAGCTAGTCACACAAAAATGATTTCCTTTCCCAAGAACGTTGGCTAAAATCTTGCAGTAATATACATGTCTCTAGTTTCTCCTCTCTCCATTCCACACTCTTGTTTGCCATATTATTAAAACATAAAATGTGATCATGTTACTGTCCTACATAAATTTAATTCACGAGGCCTGGAGCAGTGACTCATTCTTGTAATCCCAGCACTTTGGGAGGTGAGGTGGGCAGATCACTTGAGCCTAGGAGTTCAAGACCAGACTGGGCAAAATGGCAAAACCCCATCTCTACAAAAAAATACAAAAGTTAGCCAGGTGTGGTGGTGTGTGCCTGTAGTCCCAGCTACTTGGGAGGCTGAGGTGGGAGGATCCCTTGTGCCCGGGAGGTAGAGGTTGCAGTGAGTCAAGATTGCACCACTGCACTCCAGCATGGGTGACAGAGTAAGACCAGGTCTCAAAAAAAAAAAAAAACAAAAAACCAAAAAACTTAGTTCATGGTTCTCCACTACCTACTAACCAAATATCCAAACCCCTGCAGAATTTGGACCCAGTTTGTCTTTTCTATGTTTTCACACTAGCCAAACTGAAAGACTCTTACAGAACACACCAAACTACTTTACTTTTCACTTCCATTACTTTTACACCTTTCCCTCTGCCTAAAGTATCTTCTTCATACCTGAGTATCTGTTGAGTGAATCTTACTCACACAGTGCAGCTGAAATGCCACGCCTCTTCTAGGAAGCCATCTCTGATGAGAAGGATTTTCCCTTCTCTGGGAAGAGTACAGAAAAAGGGCTCTAGAATCAAAATGCCTGGGATAAAATGCTGGCCTCGCCATTTTCTAGGTGTTTGACAATGGGCAAGGTAATTAACTTCCTCACACATTAAAAACCTAATCTGTAAAATAAAGATAAAAATACCTATCTCACAGACCTACTGTGAGGATTTCATGAAATAATACCTGTAAAGCATTTAGCCCAGAGGCTAGAACACAGTAAAACTCAATAAATATTAGCTATTGCCATTATTCCTCATTTTCCCACAGGCAATTTATCTCTATTTCTCCAACTTGTTTTATCATGACTCATACTAAGAAATACCTTTCACACATTTAACAGTTCTGTGAGCTATTACCCTTACTACATGTGATTCTGATTTCATCCTGTTCTTTTTTAAAAAATGTTGATCACTCCTACTAAAATTTTACAACCCACTAATGGTTCACAACCCATAAATTGACAACCATGGTTTGTCCACTTCTCTATGACAACACTTTTCATACCATATCCTAATTAGCTACCCAAGAGCCTATGTTTTCTGGCTCAGATGAAGAGATCCTTGAAGGCTGGGATGACTCTAAGGTTAATCTGAAAAGAGAAATTCTAAAAGATTTATAATGGTCCAGTTATAATTTCTTATTACACTCATTTATTTAAAATACGGATCCAAGTTTGTTTCCTTTACCTCAATATACAACACTGCAAATCTACCCAGCACAGGGCAAGATTTTGACAGCAGTGAGGCCATGGGCTCCACTGACAAATATTTCTGAGAAACGCTTAAAAAAAAATTTCTCAAGATTCCTTTTTTTTTTTTTTTTGAGATGGAGTCTCCCTCTGTCACCAGGCTGGAGTACAGGGGCACGATCTTGGTTCACTGCAACCTCCGCCTCCTGGGTTTAAGAGATTCTTCTGCCTCGGCCTCCCAAGTAGCTGGGACTACAGGCGCGCACCACCACGTCCAGTTAATTTTGTATTCTCAGTAAAGACAGGGTTTCACCACATTGGCCAGGATGGTTTCGACCTCTTGACCTCGTGATCCACCTGCCTTGGCCTCCCAAAGTGCTGGGATTACAGGTGTGAGCCACTGTGCCTGCTTTTTTTTTTTTTTTTTTGGAAACGGAGTTTTGCTCTTGTTGCCCAGGCTAGAGTGTGATGGCGCGATCTCAGCCCACCGCAACCTCTGCCTCCTGGGTTCAAGCAATTCTTCTGCCTCAGCCTCCTGAGTAGCCGGGATTACAGGTATGTGCCATCTTGCCTGGCTAATTTTGTATTTTTAGTAGAGATGGGGTTTCTCCATGTTGGTCAGGCTGGTCTTGAACTCCTGACCTCAGGTGATCCTCCTGCCTCGGCCTTCCAAAGTGCTGGGATTACAGGCGTGAACCACCGTGCCCAGCCCTTGGTCTTTAATATGTCAATGTGAACTGTAACTCTCACAAGAGAAACATAATTCCAAGTGGTTCCCAAGTTTACTTGACCACAAAGTACTTGATTTGAAAAATATGGCAAAGACCTGGTATCCGTGGGAACTGCTGATTACATGTGAGCCACTGAAGAAACTGTCTTCCTGTCACCTGGCTCAAGCCTAGGAAAACTCCCCCACTTGAACCCTCAACACACACCTACTCTGTCACCAGGCTTGTCAGTGGTTGCACCAAAGTTGTTTCTTGCTGCCATTACCTCTTTTAAATCCCACATTAGTCCAGTATCGTATTATTTATACTGAATTTCTGCAATGGCATTTTAACCAATCTGCCCACTTTCTCCTCAATTCTGGCTAGCAGACTATACTATCTCAGCGTCTTACTCATCCCCAGCCTCCCACATCCCAAACACACCAGCTGCTCAAGAGCCTCTGGGGCTGCCCACCACCTCTGGGCAAAGCCTTCATTACTTAGGCAGTCACTGATGGCTGTCCATGATCTGATCTCCCCTCACTCTCCAGTTTCTCCTGCATTGGCATCTGCGCCCAGTGGCTCTCCCCTGTAGTCACGAGGCCTCTGGGTGCACACTTCCTTCTATTCCTTGCCTCCTGGCTTGCTGCAGACCTGCCATCCCTTCAAAGGGCCAGCCCAGTCTCCTCCCTCCACAAAATCCTTCCAGACATCTCTAGGCCTTGGAAGACAAATACTCTTCTGGTCAGTCACACAAAGTTCAAAGGGAAGCTGCCATGGAGTGCGCTAGACTTGAGACAAGTGCCTTCTGGTCCTCACCCTCTCATTTACTACCTTGGCCAAATTATTGGGCTGCTTAGAAACTATCATTTATAAAAAGAGAACATCTATTTTGCCTACTGCTCAATATTGTTGAGCAAAAAAAGACATGAAAGCATTTTATAGATCATTAAATACTAGACCAATGATTTTTCTGCTATTTGTTCTTTTGATAATATTAATCACATGCTTCGTAAGTTCTTTCCCTCAATGTCTAATTTATGAATGGTTATTTCACAAATGTTTATTATACTCCTACCATGGACAAAAAATTATGCTAAGTTGCTTTAAGAATATAAAGATGAGTAAAACATATTATAGACCCAAAGGAGCATGTAGTTTGTTACTAGAAATAGGAAATGTACACAAACACAGTACATGATAGAAAGTGATGTCAGAGCTGTGAGATCACAAAATAGTAATGGAGGAGGCCTAATAATTCAGAAGCTAAATCAAGTTTTACCTGAAACTGCTCCCCTTATGTGTAATCGTGTTTTTTTTTTTTTTTTTTTTTTAACTTCAACACTCTTTCTCTCACCTTTACTCTGGCTGATTAGTGTCCGAAGTTCCCAACTTCTTCTTGTGGACCCACTTGAATCTCCTCTTGGATATGCTGGTTCTGCAGGAAGTTATTTTTATACAAATTAAGATTTATGAAATAAATATGCTTATTTGAGAACAACTGAAAGGAAAGGTAATGGTTAAAAGCAACCTGTTTGCCTTTCTGGTTATTAATTTTTAGTGTGTTTGATGTAGGTGTGAGAAACTATCTTTGCAATCAATTCTAAAAATTGCACCAACTAAGAAGTTAATGGGGTTACAGGATTTTAACTACACTCATCTTTTCACGAGTAACAGACAACAGAATACTGTGCAAAAAGTGGATTCCTTAGGGACTTCATTCAAGATGTTAGCTTCAGGAGCCCCAGCCCTACTCCAATGGAAGCAGCAATGTGGTTCCTGAGGGCTGCATTATAAATAAAACTTTCACATACGATCAACAAACACAGTGTCACTTTTGTATTTTTTAAATGAATAAAAGTATTCAACAGTTAAAATATCTAGAATAATAATATTTTTAAAGCAACAAAAGTAGACCTATAAAATGCTAACAGGGCTAAAAAGGCATCTGTATTAAAAGGCCAATGTGCTCAGCAGTAAGTCTTCTCATAAAGCTCTGTGCTTCTTACTCTTCATTCCTTTAGAAAGGACCAAAAAAAGGAATCTTCAAGGAATCCTCATAAAGGCATTAACAACAGAAACTGGTGAACTGAGACAAATGATTAGACTGGTTGTGAATGCAGCTAACACCTTAAAACACTCACCATCTCGCTCCTCCGTGGGGCTTGAGTGACGACTCAGGGACCTAAACTGCAATTCAGCAGCTATGGAAGCCAATCGATCATTTTCAGGAACGCTGGAACCCCTGTTTTAATATTTTTAATAATTGAGCTATCAATTCAATAGAACTTAAAATGAAAGATCTGCGAGATTTTTCTAGAGCAATAATTCTCAACTGGGGGCAACTCTGCCTGCCAGGAACAACTCTGCCTCCAGCAATGTATTAGACACTTTTGGGAGGGTGCTACTGGCATCTAGTGGGCAGCGGAAAACGCACAGGACAGACCCACCAGAATCAGCCCCCTAAGTGAACAGCGCTGCTGTGGAGACCGTCCTCTGGAGTCTGTTAGAGCTCTAGAGTCTGGAAGGAGGGCTCCATTTTCATCTCTCCATAGCCAACACCCGAGCCTGAGAGCACCTGCCTGCATAAAACCTTGTCTTATATTAACAACAGAAATAAAAACACAACACTATTGAAATGTTACTGACATGTGAAAAGCTCCATAACTTAAGCCCAGGGTGAATAAAACTGTTATTAACCAAATCTTGCTGATCTTTAAAGTTACCATCAAATTATATTTATGTACTTAATTACATTTAAAGTACTAAAATCATTTCATGGTCCAAAAGATTCCAAATCTCTCAGTAAGAAAATGGAAGGGAATACCTAAAGGTTTCTCAAGCAGTAGCCAAGCAAAAGTGCAAAAGAGCAGGAAGCTTAATATATTAAAGAACAAAGTTAATGAGGTGCTTTTCCAGAATAAAGTGAAATGTTCAGCAACCAGAATGAACCCATAAAGAGTAAAAATTAAAACTAAATAGGGAATGTGTTAAAATTGTAATTCGAATAATCAAAGAACCTCAAATAAATATGGCATTAGTTTATTAAAGTCATTTAGTATATATTTTTAAGTGAATGGTATAATGAAGTATGGTAGCATTTATGCTCTTATTATACATTGATAGGTTGAAGGCAACATGATCTATTGCACAGACATTTACAAATTATAAAATATGCATTTTTTTCTGGTATTTCCCTAAGCCCTCAAATCTAGTATAGCACTTGTTAAGTCTGAAGTGATGGGGACATTTCTACTGCCATATAGTTCATAAAAAATTCGGCACTATCTGACGGGAAAACCACTGGTGTTGAAGTGAGGAAGCCTACTCCACTCCTAAGCAGCAACAAAGACCACTGGTGAGACCAAGAAGTCACTAAACACCTCTAATTTTTCCGATTTCCCACAAGTGAGACTAGCCAATTCCATGTCCTTAAGAGATTTTTGCACGGGTAAAAAGCAAGAACATATACTCATGAAGTGGCATATTGGGGAATGTTGAACGACTAGCTCTGGTGGGGGATGTCGGGGATGGGGAGGTGGGTTGTAGAGTTTGCCAATTTCTGTGGTATAACAACTTGCAAAATTTCTCAAACATTCGCCATCAGCTCTTGAGAGCCAGCAGGAGCAAGCCTCAGCAAGAGCACCACTGCAAAGTGTTTTTACAAACGATGATAAGATAACTTAAGCCCAGAACAGATATTTCCTAGGTCAAGTAAAATCAATTAAAAATACTTATTGAAACCTCTAGGGTCAAGTGAAGTTGAACTTTGATGTATCTGTAAGACGGGCAAGGGCTACACCCCATGGCTGTGGCAGGGATGCACACACTGGTGTCATTCTGCCTCCCCGTGGCACATTCACAAACCCACAGCTGTGTTGAGACACAAGCCCTTGGGTATGTGAAGTCTGCCTCGGGAGCAGTGGGCCGAATCCACCAGTGACTCACGGGCCCATGAACCAGGCTCACTGTGAAGGCACTGAGGCTTACGCAGGGCTTGAATGCAGGAGGGAGTCTGGTAACCACCCCACACCTCTTCACGTGGCTGTGCTCTTCTCTACCTACCATCTCACACACACAGACGGTCATAAAGTAAACGGGAATCCTGAGTAAAAAATGTCCTTCAAGATACCATGCTATGATACTATTAAAATTTCTAAACATCAACGATTGTCTAAGTATGTACAAACTTAAGATGAATACTTATGAAATGCTACTGATAAGCGTTTAAGATGAAATGCTGAAAAACTGCTTCTGCAAAGACTAAACTCCATGAAAAGGGTAACTGTAGTATTTAACTCTTATACTAAAATACACATAATGTACCACACCACCAACTTACAAATGCCTTAAAACACAGTGCATCAACCTTTAAAAAGAGGGAGGTCACTCCCTATTGTCCAGTTCGGGAGCAGTCTCATGTGAACATGGACACAGCAGGTGTGGGATGCAGGGGGCACAGGGTGGCCAATGCCCTCCTCAATTATGACTGTGTTTTAGGCCAAATCACTTCTCTTCAGTCTGTACTGTATGAATAAAGAAGACAGTTTTGGCAGCCCTCACAGGGATATAAAAGCATATATGAAGATATTTGCCATGAAAAGCTCTAAACGTAAAAACTAGGAAGCTAAATGGGAATTTGTTCAATGTTGTTAATTTTTTTAGTTGACTGCTTAAGCTGTAAAATGCTTTGGTACTTTTTAGGTTATAGACATTTCTCACTAAAATTTAGAAGTATTAATTATTTTAATGAGTGAAATGACTGCAAATATTTGTAGAAATTTTAGACTGTTACTAAAGTAAGTGTAAAAACATTTTAGTCTGTTTTAAAATCTAAAGCCAGGCATCATCTTCCTGTTAACTCTACTATTTTCTCCTCGGGGCTGAACACAGAGCCCTGGGTTCTATCAGAAGTTGATCTTTTTAGATCACATACCCCCAATCTACATAGTTTGGTTTGACTTGCATTGGAAGATGGGAATACTGACAGCGTTCCTCCTACTTAGGTACAAGTGTGAAATTGAGAGAGAACAACAGCTCTTCCTCCACTTAGGATAGGAGAACATGATGAAATCCTCTGCCAAAATATAACCAGAATGGGAAAACCTACAAGACCCTCCTTACTTACACAAAAGACAATGCGAGACTTAATTGTTCTGGGGCTTGCCAAGTTGTCTGAGAGTTCTCTCAAGTACTGATCTGTTCTCCATATGACATACAAACCCCATGAACTCATTTTTCCACTTCTATAAACTACTTCTAATCAACAATTATTTAAAATAGAGTATTTGGCTAGAAAACTGATCTTCCCAAAAAATAAAATGTTACCACATCAGATCATTAACTAGATGCCATCTTTTAACCACCTTGTGACTCCAGGCTCTCTCTGTGAGGCAAAATGCTCATGTCCCCTTCTGTTGTGGACCAGTCCTTTCCTATGATACTCCATCAAGTTATTCTTCGCAAAGTCTTTAGTCATTTTGGCTAATATCAGCTCCAAAGAAATACTGACATCAGACAGTTATCCATTCGTGTTGGTCAGTGCCAGAGCCTCTGGGCCGTGACAACCTGCGGAAGGCCCTAGAGCATCACTCACACGCCACAGCAAAGAAGCCCAACCACAGCCGGCACACACCCTAACACTATGGTTGCTGTGTAAGCGCATGTAAGGGGTGGTGAGGGTACGGGACACTGGTGGGGTGAGACTACCTGGTATCATGGGCACTGCTGATGGATTTGGGCAGCACAGAGTCACCACCAGAGGGGCTGGGCCGACTGGCAGCAACAGCAGCAGCAGCAGCAGCAGCAGCAGCAGCAGGGCTGCCATGGCTCCGCGCGTCGGAAGGCATGCTCCGAGTGCTAAGACAAGAAGAAAAGCTTCAGGAACACATGTGAGAAGAGGGAACGGACTTGAAAATTGTTTTCAATTAAAAATAAAATATGGCAAGGGGGTGAAATATATTTAAAAATATAAAATGCAAATTGTTCTTTGAGATTTGAGTCTAGGTGTAAAAAAGAAAAAACCTAACTTCAAAGCTTTTCTTTTTTTTGAGACAGCATCGCACCCTGTTGTCCAGGCTGGAGTGCAGTGGCGCAATCATAGCTCACTGCAGCCTTGACCTCCTGGGCTCAAGTGATCCTCCTTGCCTCAGCCTCCTGAGTAGCTGGGACTACAGGCACGGCCACCATACCCAGCTATTATCTTTGTTGTATTTTTTGTAGAGATGATGTTTTGCTACGTTGCCCAGGCTGTTCTCCTGGGCTCAAGTGATCCTCCCGCCTCGTCCTCCTAAAGTGCTGGAATTACAGGCGTGAGTCACCGCACCCCGGTCCCCTCAAAGCTTTAAAAAAAAAACAAAAAACTGTGGTCCTTATCTAGCAAATATTGTCAAATAAAATTAAACTTTTAAAAACTGATTATACAGGCGAGAGAAGGTGCTCACTACCTCAAGATGCAGAAATGCCACCACATTCAAGGCAGTTATCGTGAATGTACTATAGTTTCTGAATTCACTTAGTGTTTAAGTTGCTTTGTAATTACATATGCAGATAAAAATTGAATCTGGAAAGCTCATTCCAGTTTTTCTCCACTTTTAGTGATATTTAGTATGTTTTCAAATGTTGACTACACTATCCATATTCAAATTTGTTTTCTGAAGGTTATTTTTCAAAGGCAGGAAAGGAAAAAATGACTCCACAGCCAGAAAGCATGTAGTAGCTTGAGGTTATAAATAAGCTGAGAAACGAAGTTATCTTGAAAGGCACAGGTCTGTTTTAAATTTGCATGTCTTTTTCTTTTGCGACTAAAGGTTTCAAGATAATGCAAGTAAGAGCTTTTACGTACGAACAATGCAGAAAAGGTATTTAGCTCTCAGAGCAAGCATCTAGTAGTTTCAAAAGTATGAGCATGCATATCGGAGGGCACTCTGTAAAGCAAATGACTAGATAAGCACCAAATACCTGAATCCCTCTGGAGTGGGGATAATGAGGTGTGGGTTAGGAGGGTCACTATGGCATCGAGGTACCTTCATAGGACGGGGGCTGTTCCGATGAATGGCTGCCAGCAAAAATGGCAACAAATGCAACTTGTTAATATGGTCCACAGAAAATCATCAAACCAAACAGTCAAATGGAAAATAGAATGTCACTTATTCTGGCCAATGACCAAGGTAAGTCCATTTATATAAGTAAAAAATAATATTACATATACAAATATTATGGAAAATGTCACTTTTTAAAAGTCAGTAAAGCCCTATTATATATTAACAGTTTTCTCCATCAAAAAACATTTTTAAAAATCCTGGAGTAAAACATACATAATGTAAGCTAAACAAATGATTTAACCCATTTTAGAGATACATGAAAATGTGGTATCTCCCTAATAAAAAGGAGTTCTTTATGTTGTCTACACGTTAAAAAGATTGTGGTCACTGGCGACATTTCAAGAGGTCCTGCCTTTGAGGTCACTGTCATTGTCCTGAGTGCATGGAGTTTTATTCAGTTCCTTTAAACCAGATCAGGTAGATTTAACTGAGTCATTTTTTTCAAGAGCATGTTTTCTTCTCTTTTTCTTTTATTCTGGTAATAGGTAAATATGAATAAAATTTAAAATAAAAATTTAAAACTAGATAAAATTTAAAATTAGAGATCTTACCTAGTGATTACAAATATGCTGATAATTCCACTTTCCCAATAACTAGATGTCAGTATTAGTGGACATGCGTCATATTTTGCCTACTCTCCGTAACATGCTTTTCTCTTCTTCACTTTTACCACTCTGTTTTAACCCTCCTTAGTATTTTTTTAATGTCATAGTTTCTCTTCATGTTAATAATTTTAGTTTATATATGTTTTATCCCAAATAGGTTTTATCCTAAATGGAAATCCTGTTTCTTCATGATTTTGTTTCCTATTAATAAGGGGAAACAAGAGAGACAGAAGTAGTAAAAATGGAGAGATCTGAAGTTCCCTTACAGAACTTACAAAACAAAACTTAAGGGATTGTTAACAAAAAACCCTCAGGCAATTTGTGTCTCTGATTCATTATCCTAGCTATTACAATGGCAAATGGAAGAAATTCAATAGTAACAAATGGAAGAAATTCAATAGTAACAAAGGTTAAAAAAAAACAAAAGATTTGGTGAGTCTTTAATTGAGCAAAGATACTGGGAACTAGTCAAAAATTAGTAAAAATTTTCCTACAAATAAAGACATTCTGTTTAAAAAACCATGTGCACATGTTTTGCATGAAACAAAACAATTATTTTAATAGTAGGTATATGTAACACTGCAAAACTTTCCACTTCATTGGAAAGAAAATTCAAATAGCTAATAAGCAAAATGGATGTTCAAATTTCACTACTGGTAAACACTGATTATAGAGATGCTTTTCACAGCCAAAACAAACAAAAGCCCATCAAAAAATGGTAGAAAGAATTACAGTACATTCATGACGGCCACAGTGTGGCCAATGAAAAGAACAAGTGAGATCAATACCTGTTGACTTGGAGACATTTCTCCAATTGTAAACGAACCACCCTATATATGACTGTGTGATGAAATGGGCACAGAGAAAGGTACAGGGAGAATGCATTTGTGTGACTATATGAATCTATAGAAAATATGGAAGCTTACATACCAGGTTGTTATTTGTTATGTGCTTACAACAGAGGGAAAGGAAGAAAGTAAGCAACAATAACAACAAAATGACAGTTGATGTGCTCTCATTTTCATTCATTTCTTTTGTAAGAAAAGAACACAAAACCAAATGATGACCCCTGTTGCGTATGGAACACTAGAATTTACACATTGTTATTACTTATTTAATCCTCATTAGCATCCAGTTTCATTCATTAAAAAGAGAGGCTCAATGATGTTAAATGAGCAGCCCCAGGAAAATTGCTGTCCAGGCCCCCGACAGTTCAGTTCCACTAACCCATAGTGACTGAGAGGACAAAGGACCATGTGAGTCTCCAGAGAGCGCTATTAATTAACTGTCCCACTGCAGTTTGGAGTGGCAGGCATATTGAAAGATGAGCGACTCAGATGTTACCCGGGACTACCTTTGGATTCAGGAAG
This sequence comes from Homo sapiens, assembly GCF_000001405.40. Lineage (NCBI taxonomy): Eukaryota > Metazoa > Chordata > Mammalia > Primates > Hominidae > Homo > Homo sapiens. The sequence goes on along the minus strand of NC_000006.12, from coordinate 161,095,058 downwards.
TATGAGTCATTTTTATTTTGTCTTTTGTAATCTTTTTCTACATTGATAAATTTTCTAAATGAACATCTTCCATATTTTTCTAGATACTTTTTCTATGTTGTGATTTTTCCACAATGAAAATGATTCCTTATCTAATAAAATATTTTAAAGTAATTCTTACTGAATTATCGATCATGTGTTCTTAGAGAAGTGTTTTAGGATATCAGAAAATCAAAATTATTCACAGCTTAAGCAATAACCTGATAAGACAATAGCATGCTTTATATAAAATGCTCAAATAGTCTTACAAATGTTAACTTTCATTTTCACGACAACCTTGGGAGAAAAAGAGGTATAAACTGAAGATTAAAAAACCAACAATTAAAACCCATTCTACTGAATTTTCTGCAGCCAGCAAGTACCCTATATGAAATACAGTTAGTGTTCAATAAATTTACCATTTATGAATTATATTTTGTGTAATTTAAATTGCATAAAATTTCTAAGTTTCTTTCTTGGGTGTTTATTACTTACAAATACAGTTTTGTTTTATTTACAAACTATCTCAAGAACGGCATAAGACACAGCTTTTTTTGACATATATTTTGTTTTCAACATTTCAACATATACTATAAAAGTGTTAATCATTCATTGTTACTGTAAAATTGTACATAAACTGTAACCAAAAATTGTAATTGAAGTAATATATATAGCAGCATAACTTAACTTGATTTTTTAAACAGTAAAACCAAATCAGAATTTACTACAGCTGGTGGGAAGATGGGTACTTGGGAAAGCTGTGGAGAAATGGACACTGCTCTCCTCAAAGGTGAGGAACGGGGGACAGGGAAGTGATCTGCAGCCACCTGCAGCAGGGGCAGTTCCTGTTGCTTGGCAGACAACGCCCTCTTCCAGTCTTTCCTCCCCATCAGAAAAGATGGTAAGGGGGAAAAAAGAATGGTAGTGTTGGTATAGAAAGAAATGTGTAATTGAATACTGCTGGCTGGTATGGAATAGCGTATGGCTGACGTTTTAATCTTCCTGTCAGATTTAGAAAGGTTGCTGCGGAGTTCTCTATCTACACACCTCATTTCTGTCCCTCTCATTGTCGTTTTCCTGAATACTGTTAAAACACCTCTTATACCATTTTAAACGACTGCAATTACAAGAGGATCTGTCCACTCAAATCATTATGTTCCAGAAGAAATGCTGTTAACGGCTGTCTTACCAAGGTACAAACCTGTAACAGGACTGTGTGGTTTTCCTATGACATGGCCAATGCATTCATTCATCAAGGCTTGTAAACTCTAGAAACCAAAAGAAAATGGGAAAGGTAAAGAGAAAACATGCATACTTTCTTAATTATGTAAGTAGCACAAATTAATTTTCAGTATATTTTTAAAAACATGCTACCCAAAATATTTTCAGTTAGTTTAAAAGAAAATAGGTATAAACACAAATTGTATGTAATTTAAAATAATACAGTGTATTTCATTTTTATAAGTAAAAGCAAATTAGCTGTCAATTTCCCATAACACAATAACGTGTACAAGCAAAGAACTTTTCATGTAATCGTCTCTACTACTGGGAGAATAAAATAAATGAATTCACACTTTGAGCAATATCATGCTAATCTGATGACACTTATCAGACTAACAGTGATAATATTTAACACGAGCATGATGCTCTCAAAATGATGCACACTGAGGTAAAAGAGCTAATCCTTGTTCTGCCCCAAAGCAGCAGCTATGATGGCAGTAAAAATATAAATCTCACAAATATTTTAGAAGGGCCAGGGTTTACAAACCAGACATTGACTTAGTTGAACACTAATGTTACAAAAAGAAAAAAAATCTTACTCTGCTATGAGGAGTACTTTAATTTCTCAGCATTATCATTACATGATATGCTGAGATTAATATCTCATGAAAAAAACCACTATTACATATAAAACATATACAACCAGAAAATAAGGAGTGACTGGCTTATTTTATAATGAAAAAAACTTTAGAATAATCCATACCAAGAAGTCATCTTCTGGTAAAGCTGAAATAAAGGCAGGTTCAATTGCTTGTAGAAAATCAAATCCTTGAGTCGCCCACCTGGTACACGAAAAAGTTCAGTAATCACATAACAACCAAGAAAACGCTGTAGCAGTTTTAGACTGTACAATACTGAAAAGTAACATAATTATAATTACTATTTAGGACAAGACACTTTTTTTTGCTTGGGTTCAGTAAGTTTACAGCGTGACCTTTTGGAAAGGAGAATAATTTTTTAAAATTTAATTTTGTTTTGAAACCAATGGGAAGCATGGAAGAGGATTTTAGACATGATAGGTGCCATCTGTAATTCAACAATTATTTATTTGTAATTCAACAAGTATTTATGAGTTTTGTAACACAAAGTTCCTACTTTGAATCTCAGATGCAGCAAATGTGTTTTCTCTAACTTGGAGAAATTGCTTAATGACTTTAAGAAAGTGCCCCATGCTATCCCTCCATTACAAATTACAGAACACTCAGCTATTTCTCACACAGTCATGACACTTTAATAACTATGTTTACTTTAGTGGAGCTAGTATTGAGCCTCACAGACGATTCACCCATTTCACCCCTGCAAATTCCAAAATGGTTTCTTAATGAATAAATTTCATGAGGGAGGAAAATACATTAGTCATCAGGAAGACTTGTCAAAGGAGAACATGAGTTCCCTTAAAGGTAACTCAAATTTGGAACAAATTTAAAAAAAAATTTTTTCCCAAGAGTTACGCAGTTTTCTCTACATATTTTTCCATTAAAAAAAACCTGATCACCGAAGAGTTTAGAGTGTTCCCTTCTGTGTCGTCTGCTCAAAAAGAATCCCACAGAACATATATGAACAAATACCACCAAGCCCACATGACACATTTCAGAAACATCCTACTTGGTCATTACCTGGGTCTTGTACCTCTACCACTCTCACATTTAGTCAGGACATAATTCATCCACTTCCGGGCAAAGCTTATATATTTGTCTCCTATCTTCTGTCTAAACTCCCCAGACATCAAACGAACAACTTCTTTATGATACTGTAAGAAGATTTCATGTATATCAACATTAAGGAAATGATCATTAAATAATATCACACACTATAATGCCATGTCTAAAATGTTTTCTAAAAACAAAAAGTGAAATCCAATTAAAATTTCTATATTTTGAATAGTATGAAGAATTATGGAAAGTACAGTGTTTCAAAATGCAGTTTCATAAATGTTTTACTCCTGAGTTTAAATTAAGAATGTGCTTTTATGACATAAAACATCTCTTTAAAGTTTTAAAATGTAAGTAGATGGCTGTTAGCACAAAATAAAAGTTGGACAATTACCTAACAGTTTAAAAGTAAACTAACATCTCTGATATACAGCAGTGATATAAGATGATATTCTTGATTAAGCTATGATTACAATATCAGATTTACTGTAAAAGGTTCCAAAAACTTTCTGTAAGTTATCAAGCAATTACTAAATTGTACCGTGTTTCCTCTTATTTTGAACCTACCTCAAATCCAAAATTGTACCCCTGAATCATTGCTTCTCGGTAGTACTGTTGCAAGGTGACAGATTCAGATTCATCAACCTCAGCATCAAATTCTGATGTGAACATGTGGTCCACGCGGTCAATGGCATTGCTTATCCTGTTGCATAGCTCCAATGCATCATTCTGAAGAGTCCAAACCATGATTAATGCAAAATGAAGCAAATCATACAATACTTACCACATTTTAAAGGAAGATTTCGTTCATCATCACACAGACATTAACCACTACAAACAATTCAGCCACTTGGTAAAGGAATTACCAAATATAGAAGAAATTATGTCATTTTATTTGGCATTCTTAAATAGAAGAGAAAAAAATGCATTTAAAATGATACAGTCTAGTTATAATCTGCTCTTGGAATAGATGCTTTTATCTTCAATATTTTTATACATCAACCACCTGTTGTTTTCTCCTCCTGGACGGTTGCTCAACCATAAGTACGGGTGCAATTCCACAGAGTGAAAAAGTCCATGTACTTCTAGATGACCTCCTCCGATCGTGCTGTCCTCATTTCCCTGCTACTCCCTAGTCCAGGGGTTCTCTTCTGGGGCAGATTTCTCCCCCTCCCCTCAGCGTCTGGAGACGTTGTCCAGAGAAGTTTTTGATGGTCAAAATTTGGAGGAAAAAGTGGAAGTACTGGGATATGGTGAGTAGAGGCCAGGGATGCTGCTAAACATCCTACAATGCGCAGGACGGCCCTCCACGACCAAGAGTTACGGGCCCAAACGTCCACATCCAAGAGGCTGAGAAGCCCTGCCCTGGCTCTAAACATCCTACAATGCGCAGGGCGGCCCTCCACGACCAAGAATTACGGGCCCAAACGTCCACATCCAAGAGGCTGAGAAGCCCTGCCCTGGCTCTAAACATCCTACAATGCGCAGGACGGCCCTCCATGACCAAGAGTTACGGGCCCAAACGTCCACATCCAAGAGGCTGAGAAGCCCTGCCCTGGCTCTAAACATCCTACAATGCGCAGGACAGCCCTCCACGACCAAGAGTTACGGGCCCAAACGTCCACATCCAAGAGGCTGAGAAGCCCTGCCCTAGCTCTAAACATCCTACAATGCGCAGGACGGCCCTCCACGACCAAGAGTTACGGGCCCAAACGTCCACATCCAAGAGGCTGAGAAGCCCTGCCCTGGCTCGAGCTTTTGTCACCTCTGTCAGCAACATCACAATAGCTCCAAATCGGTCTCTCTCTCTACCCACCCTTACACACGAGTGCACACAAGGTCTCCATCAGGCAATCCCCTTACTATGGTTACAAAATATTCTTCCAGCAATCCATAGAGAGAGATAACCTAAATATTTAGTTAATAAATGTTTATAGATAAATCAGACAAATCAGACCAACAGAAGAAAAACAAGTGTTTACGAAATGACTTGTAACTTCAGAGAATGTTTCTTCTTCAAGAAGTTAAGCCTTAATGTGAGTGAGAAGACATAACTGATGGCCTGGAAAAGTGTGGATGAGATCAAGACTGATACATGGGATACAAAATAGAAAGTGTCAAAAACAGGAAATAATGGAAAAAGACAGCCAGGCTGGGGCTTGTCATAAACTTTGAAAGGCCTTTGTACTTCTCTGCAACTTTTTTCTATTATATTTAATTTGGTTGAATTATTTATTAAACAAAACAATAAATAAATCTTCTATTACACACTGCTGATATGGAGTACCTCTAGTAAATACTGGGGATTGTGAAAGGAGAATGAAATTTACACTGGGAATGAAGAGACCTAAATTATTAAATTTTCAACTTTGCCACTAACCAGTCATGTAGCCATTATGAATAAGTCACATAAAGTTCAATTCTCTATCCTTTCCAATTATAAAGTTCTACAGCTTCAGGAAGAATCTCAGAATATGTAGTTTAGACATAAGAAAATATGTATTGGGAAGAGAGGTGAGTGGGCAGGCAATTCAGGAGCTCAAGTTCCTTGGATGATATTACCTTACACACATTACCACACACTGACTTTCATCAAAAAGGAAAAATCTCAGCTAATGTAGAGGACAGTGTAATACCTTCAGCTGCTGCAAAGCTTTGGCGATGACCGGCTGACTGGATGTCTGCTCCTGGCACAGAGTCATAAGTCCCTCAATGGACTGCTGGAAAGCTTTTCTCTGAATTGTGAGATGCGCAGACTGCATGACAACTAGTAAAAGATTATCCACCTGGGAGGAAAATCAAGCACAGGACATAAAAACCAACCCAGTTACTAGTTGTTATTCTAGTTCAACACCAGTCCAAAAACAATGCCAATCTCAGGGATACCAGGCCAACAACCATCTAATCAGAAAGTCATTTTTAAGCAAAGCTTCTCCTACACAGCAACACGCTTCAGTGGGCATTGACAGCTGGGATATTCAGCACCACGGAGAAGAACCCTTTGGGACTGCAGGCATGACATCTTTGAGATATCCTAGAACTTCAAGTAGTTCAGTACTGCCAGTGCAGAGTGTGTGTGAGTGTGTGTGTGTATGTGTGCATGTGTGTGTGTATTGGAGCAGCATATGAAGAAGGAAAATGTAGGAATAAGACAGAAATAAGATGAGGGGCCTTATATAAAACATTAAGAAATCAAGACTTTATTACTTTTGTTCTTAAGAGATGAAGAATCTTTGCAGTATTTTAAGTAGATCTGTGATGCAATCAGATGTATTATAATGATCATTCTAGAAGCACAAAAACAAACACAGAATTGGAGAGACAGAAGGTGAGGTTTGAAGCAGGGAAACTCAAAGTCAGAAACTGCAATAGTTCAGGAGAGGGATGGTAAAGTGCTGACTACAGCAGCTGCTCTGGGGATGCAGGGAAAGGATCATTTACTGGAAATGCTTCTGGCTTTCCAGGGCAAGGTATTAACTGGAAAGATGGGAGGCTGAATTTATATTAGCTGTCACACTTCTGGTTTAAACATGTGAGTGAACGCGGAACCATTCACTGAGACGGAATATAAAAGCAGAGTTGTTGGGGTGAGGGATACAGCAGGCCAGTGTATACTCAGTTCTGGTGAGGCTGAGCTCAAGGTGCATATGAACACTCACCATGACTGTTCCTAAGCTGAACACAGATAAATGAGAAAGCTTCTCATAGTTTATAACTAATGAGTTATAGAAACTGTCACGAGGTCCCTGTTAGGTAGGGAGGGGATAGCCTTCACTACAAAAAATTAAAATTAAATAACCAGTAAACCTGAGTACTTGGAGAACTGGGATTTCTAGAACTACAAATTATATTAGTGACATAACTCCTTTTAGATCATAGCTCCACAGATCTAACTACATGACTGAACTAAGAAAAGATATAAACCAGATAGATGGTTTATTTCAAGTATTCCAGTATAATTTAACTTAACAGAATGATATATTGTACAAATTATGCTGCAAAATGACCTATTAACACATTGAGGCATATTTTTGGGAAGTATATACTTGTGATTACTAGGGTAGTCAAACCCCTCATTCATGAGCAGCTAACAGTTCATTCTTACTAAAAGTCCTTGAAGTAACACTGCTGCAAAGATGGAGATGAGCTGTACCTGCATGCTTCTCAGGGTGTCAACAGTCTCCACCTGAGGCACGACTTTGACAGGCTGTGCCTCCCAGGTGCCCCAGCTGTCCTCTGAATCACGGGCTCGATCACCGTGCTTGGTCAGAAGCAGATAGGCATCGATGAGTACGTCATCTGAATCTTTTGAACAGTCCTTTCCTGCAGCTGCATTGAGTAACTGCAAAATAATACTCTTCTCCTCAGCAAGAGTGTCTGGAACAAACATTTGCAAGTTTTCTAACCCAGGAATTTGCACCTGCAAAAGACATAATCCAAAATCTTAAGGAACACTGTACATTAGAGAAATAGGTTATTTAAAACAAACCTAGGAAAGGAGAGGCAGGTTTGGGAAAGGGAAAGTGGGAAGGGCATGAATTGGAGCAGTGAGGGAACTGCAGGTAGCCGGCTTCAGTGTGACTGAAGGAGGCAGGAGGAGGAGAGTCTGTGAACGCACTGGAGGAGAGGCCTTACAGAGTCTCCCCGATTATTGGACATCCTCCTCACTGCTTTATTTTCAACAACAAAGAAAATACTCGACGGGGAGGCAAGGCAGCCTGAAAGAACCTCAACCACTGCTAGTTTGTGATGCTTACAAAAAGTCACCTGGCTTGGGAAAAAGGCAAAAATTGTTAATACAGATTCTCTAATTATTCCAGGGCAGGGAGCCAGGGGTTCATCACAAGAAGGCTCCTTGAGATCAGTTTCTCAAAGGGTACACATGTGGTGGCACGCTGCAGGTCATCCCTCCCACTCTCAGTATGGGAGCGGGATACAACTGTGGGCTTGGGATAAAATGTCCAGTGATGACATCACATACGGATTCTAACTGTGCTAAATCTCCAACAACTTAAAGTGGAGTAAAGTTGCTGACTCAAAAAGTGGCTCTAGTGATGACCAGGATCTTGATGTCAAAGATTCACTGTAAAACCTTTGAACTGCATCAGGAAATATAAGGGTGAAAAACAAAACCATAATTTAAAATGAATATTATCTCCTTATACACATTATTTTAAATATGTGTAACTAAATTAATAAACAGCATGAGTAAACTTTTTATTATTTATCTACACTCTGAAGACAAGTTAGTAAGTCAAGTATGAAAAAGACTGTTTCATTATTCCACTGGTGAATTACAGGACAGTCTTACAACTGGGGTTGTGGTACAGCCTTCAGAGCCTGTAATATTTACTATCTGGACCTTCAAGAAAAAGTCTGCCTGTTTTAGAATAAAGAAGGAAAGGCAAAATGTTTCAATCACAACATTTGAAGTACTTACCTTGACATACTGTTTTGATTTCAGAACATCCAGGAGGTCTCTAACTGGGGCTGAAAGCCTGAATTCTGCTGCTATTTCCAGGTCCTAGGATCACAGTTACAAAGAAACTTCTTTACGGTTAGCATTAAAAAAATAAGATAAAAGAAAAACAAGAAAAAAGGTACTAATTAATCAGGATTGCAAGCTCACCTTTCTCAACATTTTAGCAAATCCAAGTGCTTTGGAAGCCCTTTCTCTGGCTTCATGGAAGAGCTCCTTCAGGGCTCGACTGATCTCTATAACAGACCTCCTGCCAAGTGGATTCAAGTCCAGTTAGAACACATTAGGGAATATTCCAGAGGTGCAAGAGGGATTTAACAATAAAGATGAAGCAAATTCCAAATCACAGTAATAAATAAAGACTGAGGATTTTTTAAATGGGAACAAACTATTATTGAAGATGTAGTCAAAACATTCAGAAGCCTGCTCCTGACAGTTTTGTAGAAAATATTCATATCCTTTCAATGTAAGCAGGGCACATTTAATAACCTTCAAATAATAGGAAGCTCAATTTTCTTAACATTTCATTATGATCATTTCTTGGAGTTTAAGGTTAAGTTCTTAACTCCTGGCTCGTAATCTAAAAAGAAATCTATACAGTGTGATCTGGGAAATATTTAACAACTGGGTGACCCTAAATTACTATCTTATGTAATGCATGCCGATTTCTGTGGTGTAAATACTCCCATCATAGCTAATTTCAAGGCAGCAGTATGATGTCCCTGAGCAATGAAATGGGAAGAGATGTGCATGATCAGCTCTCTCAAGCCGGGAGAAGCAGCTCCAGCACACCACTGCCCATGGCCCCCTGAACTGGAACCGCTCTCTAGTTCACCATCTTCATTCCTGCCTTCTCATGTTTCTTTGGAATCTACATGCTTGGGGTTATTTTGAACCCACCATGTTAGCTCTCAAAACTGTGAGACCTACAAACTTATTTATTCCATTTCTCAGCTATTCAATATTTTCCCAGGTGAGAAACCATGTGGGAACTTCTTTCTTTAACCTTGGCATAAAAACATACCAGGTGTTCTGAAACTCAAAATGTGTTTTTCATCAAACCTTGAATGGTGAGCGAAAACATTTTCGCTTTGGAGAAGTCAGTTCTATATGAGCTTTCGCCAAGTTTGACTCATATGACCTTGCTGATTCTATGGCCACAAAGTTGCTATACGCCTGATATATATACCACAAAGAGTAGCAATTTCAAAAGTTTCGACCTAAATACCATCTGCACAGAACTGGAGGAAATTCAACAGAGAAAAACCATAGTTTCATACACTTAAGTTTAAAGTTCAACAGAAGGAATGCACTAAGAATAAAAATGTACCAAATGTCATTAAAATGTATTAATGGACCACTACACAGATTTTTTAAGAACAGAAACTAATATAAAAGGCATCCCAGACAATGTAAATAAAGAAAATTCTACTCATTTTTTTCAGTCAACTTTATCTCTTTATCTTTAGTTTTTTTTTTTTTTGAGACGGAGTCTTGCTCTGTCACCCAGGCTGGAGTGCAGTGGCATGATCTTGGCTCACTGCAACCTCTGCCTCCTGGGTTCAAGAAATTTTCTGCCTCAGCCTCCTGAATAGCTGGGATCACGGGTGCGTGCCACCACGCCCAGCTGTTTTTTTTGTATTTTTAGTAGAGACGAGGTTTCACCATCTTGGCCAGGCTGGTCTTGAACTCCTGACCTGGTGATTCACCCACCTCGGCCTCCCAAAGTACTGGGATTACAGGCGTGAGCCACCGCGCCCAGCCAGTTGGCACTATTTTTATCACACTAAATAAATTCTAAGTTCCCCTTCAAAGAAAATTTCACATAAAACCATAACTAAGAAATCACATGAAAAGACAAGGCAGTTATAAATAAATCCCTTTACATCTACTGCCCAAATTCTTCCAGGCCAACACAATTTGGTTTGAACAAGGCTCCTTCTAGGATCTCACCATGAGGAAGGAAACTACGAGATAAGAAGTGGAAGGGGAAAGGAAGCACAACTCCAACCTGATTTCGTCGGAAGCACTGCTGTCATCCGCACTAGTCCAAAATTCAGCACAGCTCTCCTGTAAGCCAAATTCTAAAAAACTTCCTGTAGATTTCAGCAGCATTCCTGCAATGTCACTAAGGGAACAAAAATAAAAATAAAACAGAGAAGAAAACTGTCCCTACTCATAGCCTAATTCTTGACTGAGAAACTTGAAAGGCTCAGCTACTGCTCTAATGGTTTAAAAATCAAAAATGAAAAATTTCTCTTCTTTTAATATAAAACCCTGGACGTGGAAAAATAGGAATCTGGATTATGACATGTACCTACCTTTGTTCTACTACCACAGTATCTCAATATAAACCTTAAAATCTTAAACTGTATTCATAGTAGCTATGGAATTAGTACACAAATGTTATTTCCATCTAAATGGAAATTTTCCATAAAATGGCCTCAAACTAAATGATAGGATAAGAGGGAAAGGGAATTCCTTAAATTCAACTGTTTTTACAAATTTCCCCCACAATTAGCTTTGTATAGTCAATAAACATGAAACACTCTATCTGGCTGATCCTTCTCATTGAGTACACAATTCTAAATACTAGTGTTAAAATGTACACCCCAGTATATAAAATGAATCTAAATGAGTGAAGTAAAATTCAACCACAGTTTACTGACTTAGGATGTTCAAGGAAAAAAACTTAGGATCTAGTAACAGAGAGCAGGTAAGCACAGAACTAATATCAGATGCAGCAGGAGGTAAGTGCTAGGCTTGTCGGAGGAGGAGAAAGACCAACCCCGAAGGCACAGTTTCAGACCCATTGAAGGCATGGCTTCATGTCCAGAAAGCCCTGCAATGGGCCTTGCAGGCAAATGCAGAATTTTAACAGGTGGACTAATACTGGGAAAAGGAAAATCTGCGAGGAAGAAAATGGAAAAGGCGGAAGGAAAGTCCAGGAAGAACAATAAATATGATTAAAAAGCATGAAGATGTAGTCAAGCAAGCATGTTCATGAAAAAAGAAAATCATCCAATCTGAAGAGTAGTGGGTATTTAGGCTACAAAGGGACAGGGGAAAGTCCTGCGGCCATGCTGTGGAGGGCAATGGATGTCATGCTCATTAGTTTGGCGTTTGATAAGCAAAGAGAGTAAATTTTAAAATATCTGATTGGGAAAGGGGTCTGATTGGAAACAATGCTTTTAAAGAACATTATACAAAAATACTAGAATGTACTTATTCAACAAATATTGAGTGCCTATTACGTACTAAGCAGCAGCAAACAAAACCAGTAAAAGCCCTCCAGTGGATGGAGAAACACAATAAATAAAACAAAAATGTGAAATGTATTTCAGGTTATTGGTAAGTGCTATGGAGAAAAGGAACAGAGAAAAAAGCTAAGGAGTTGTGGGTAGGAATTTCCATCTTAAATATACCGAGAAGGTAACATCTGGATAAAGACCTGAAGGAAGTGGGGAAACAAGTCATGAAAATAACTGGGAGGAAGAGCACTCCATGCAGAGGGGCCAGCTGGTGAAAAGGGCCTAAGGCTGGAACATGCCTGGCCCGAGACAGTGAGGAAGCCACTGTGGCTGGGAAGCGAGCACAGGACAGGAGGGTCTAGAAGGAGGACAAAGACGTAATGAGAAATAGGACCATGTCAGGCCTTGCGGGCCATTGTTAGGCAGTCTTACGTTTCCTGAGTAAGATGGGGAGCCACTGGGAAATTGAGAGAAGACAATGGTCTGACATACACTTTAACCAGACCATTCAGGCTGTGGTGTTGAGAATAAACTCTAGGAGGCTTCAGGCAGAAGTAGGGAGACTGTTTAGAGAGCTACTGCAATAACATACGTGAGAAATGACAACCTGGGAAGAGTGGAAGTGTGGAGTGCTTGAGAGGCAGAGGTCAGATTCTGGATATACCCTCAAAGGGCACCCAAAAAGAGTCGAGGTAGTGTGTGCAGGAAACAAAGGAGTCAGCGCTGATTCCAACACCGACTGACCCTGGGAGAAACAGTGTTTGAAGCCGGAGCTGCTGCTCTAATACAACAGATAAAATGCAGTGGAGTCCAGAACTAGAATAAAAGTGGACTGTTCACAAGAAGGGGGAATGAAAAAGCCCTGGAGCTTCTCAGGGCGAGGATCATGAAAGCAAAGGCCAGAGACTGCACTCTAGGGAATTTGAAGGACAAGCAAAAGATAGAAACACAAAGACTGACAAGAGGAAGTGAGGGTACAGTGACACTAAACAACATGAATTTGTAGTGAAACTAAAGAGTAACCTTTAAAAACATTTCTTCAACAAAGCTTGACAGGTTGGAAACAGAAAATGCAAACAGAAGGAATTAGGCAAAGCAGAATCATGGAAAAGTAAGGGGGGAGACATGTTGCAAATGACAATGAATGCCTTTTTTAAAAAGGCTGACTATGGGCACCAAGCTGAACAGACAAGCAAAGACAGCCTGGGGATCACAGCCTGACGGATGGAGTTATGAGAGGAGAGCAAGTTCACTGTCCACTCCAAATAAAGAGAGAGGATGTAAAAAGAACTGGCCATTAGAACAGAGAAGTGGATACGAGATTCCGAGACTGAACATAGGAGAAATCGGCAGAGTCAAGAACAAAGCTAAAGCTAGAGTCCTGCAGAAGTCACGCTGACGGGACCAGGAGACAGGGTAGGCAGCAGAAGCTGCTGCTCTAATACAAGAGACAAAATGCAATGGGGTCTAGGACTAGAATAGGCATGCTCTTATGAATGAGACTTTATAAAAGGGATACAGAAAAAATAAAATGCCTGATGAGACAAGTGGGAGAAGGTGGTGCCAAAAGACAGCAGCAGAATCTAAAGCACAGAAGGACACTGATCCTCATCTGAGCCAAAGCAAGTCCGAGGTGCAGTGGCCACCAGCAAAGACCACGGAGACGCGGCCTGTGCCCAGCGATCCCAAGCTTGCATGCAAGATGTTCATTTCCTAGAACTGACAGACCAGCCCTGCGACTCTGCACTGCTCTCTTCATGATTCCCCCTTGTTTACACTTCTATTCCTTCACCCTATATACACCCAATTCATAAAGAGAGTCTGTGATGAGCACTACATTCCCCAAACAGTGGCAGTAAAAATGCTTAAAATACTTCTTAAGTTCTGCATGTCCCCACCAAGACTGATATACGCGGGTATATTCTACTCTTGAAGGACTTACAATCTCCTTCCTTTTATTAGGGGGAAAAAGAGTTTATTCTAGGGCAGAAGTTCTCAAGTTCAAAGCTGACATCTGAGTGGATAATTCTGTTGTGGGGCTGTTCTGTGTGCCGTGAATGTGCGGCAGCCTCCCTCCCCCCGCCCACTCGCTGCCAGGAGCATCTTCCCAGTCATGACCATCAAGTGTCTCCAGATACTGCCCAATGTCCCCAAGGGGAAAAAATCACCCCTGACTGAGAAACACCACTCAAAACTTGGAAGAGGGTGCACATATGAGATATGGATAACTGCAATTTTCATGTAACTAAACATACAAACACATAGGAGAGAATCAGTGAGTAAATGGTGTGAGAGTGAGAAGGTGGGAGCGTCGCGTTCAGAAGCACAAGGATTCCTACCAGAAAAGCTTCCCGGCCTGTGCTTCTCCTCCCCGTATGTAATGAGTTATTTCTTTGGTGAAATTCCATTCTTCTTCTAACAGATTTTTTAAACTATGCGATGCTTGAGGTAATTGCTGTAGCATTTGGATCCAGCTTCTCATGTAATCAAAATACACCTTAAAACACAAAAAGTAAAGGGAGACATTTGAAAGTAGAACTTGGCAACTCAGCGCTCTCACCTGAAAGCTACACATCAGCAGGGTAAAGTGGGGGCGGGCCGGGGGCTGTCACAGGCACGCAGCACCGACAGAAGCAAGGTTCTCACCACTGTTAGCTGAGGTCTAAATGAGGATTTTTTAAAAAATCACAAAACTAACTCCCCAGCAATTTAACATATTATTGACAACCCCTTCAAAATCCTAACAACAAAAATGTTCACAATCTACAATAAAGGGGAAAAAATCAAAAGAACAGTACCCAGAACTTTTCATTATGAATGTACTGTCAACATTATTCCTTTAAGAGGTTAGGATCTTCACTTAATGACCTACTTTAGCTTGAAATGGTGCCTTATGTGCAGAGAGGAGGACGTCAACACCCTTCTTCGCACCACCCCTTCCTAACATCCGGATTTGCGTGATAAAATGTTTTCAAGGCTTGCAACATATAAATGATGATCTAAAACCAAAATATCCAGTTGTTCTGAAGTGGGATTTATGCCCACCACAAGTCCTATTACAACAGCTTTCCCGTTCTTAAATCCTCCTTTAGATTTATCCCGTGGTCAGCAGGGTTCAACTATCAAGCAGTTTTTCTCAACAGGTTTGCAATGGCCACCTTCTAGAACAACCCTGTCTATGGACTCCTTTACTTAAAAGAATAGCTTGACGGGGTAGGAGATATTTGAGTCACACATTCTCTCTCGGAACTTTTCAGACATCACTCCACTCCCTTCCAACCCCGAGTGTGACTCAGCGTGAAGCAGTCTGTCGCCAACCTGAGCGCCCACCCACCACTGCTCTCCCACATCCTGAAGGTGACTACACTCGGGTGTCCACACTCAGATGTTTACAGGATTCCTTTCTCTATCCTAGGTTTCAGTGTTTTCACCAGGCTACATCTCAGACTTCATTGTTGGGAAAGATATTTTTCTGAGATCTAGTAATAACTTTCAGTAGGCAAATCTGAAGTCTATTCTTTATCTCAAGACAACTGTCTTCTGCTGTATCGTTCACTGTGTCTGAGTCCTCCATCCTCCAGGTGTGTGGTGTGACTCTGAAGTTCTGGGTCTGTTATGACTAGAGTTGTGTGTGCAGAATCTGCAATTCATGGGTCTACAGTCCTCAACACGAGGCTCAGAACCGCCCTTTCACTTCTTGGTGAGCTCCCCCATCTCCGTGTTTTTCCTTCCTGAGGACAGCTTCTTCCTTGCGGCCCCCAAGGGGCAACTATCTGTCTTTTTCTTTTTCTTTCTTTTTTTGAGATGGAGTTTCCTCTTGCTGCCCAGGCTGGAGTGCAATGGCACGATCTCGGCTCACCGCAACCTCTGCCTCCCGGGTTCAAGCGATTCTCCTGCCTCAGCCTCCTGAGTAGCTGGGATTACAGGCATGCGCCACCACAACTGGCTAATTTCGTATTTTTAGCCGAGACGGGGTTTCTCCATGTTGGTCAGGCTGGTCTCAAACTCCTGACCTCAGGCAATCTGTCCACCTTGGCCTCCCAAAGTGCTGGGATTACAGGCGTGAACCACTGCGTCCGGCCAACTCTCTGTCTTTCTATGCACTCAAAGGCTGCAAAGTCAGCTTCCTCCTGTTCCCACTGCTTTTTTTTTTTTTTTTTTCTTGAGACAGGGTCCTGCTCTGTTTCCCAGGTTGGAGTGCAATGGCATGATCTTGGCTTACTGCAACCACTGCCTCCCAGGTTCAAGTGATTCTCCTGCCTCAGCCTCCTAAGTAGCTGGGACTACATGTGTACACCACCATGCCCAGCTGATTTTTGTATTTTTAGTAGAGACGGGGTTTTGCCATGTTGGCCAGGCTGGTCTCGAACTCCTGACATCAGGTGATCCACCAGCCTCGGCCTCCCAAAGTGTTGGGATTACAGTCGAGAGCCACCGCACCCGGCTCCAACTGCTCCTTTTAAACCATAATTTGTATATATTCTTCTTTAGAAAGCAAAACAAAAGACCCTACCCCTTTAAGATTTACGTCATCAGCCACACCACTGGCCCCCTCTTCAGACTGTCACCTATGGACTTCTAATCGGCCTTCATCTAACAGTCTTTCCTCCATCTCGGGCTCGGCCACCCTGCCGTGGCTTAGCATCATGCGGAAAACCCACCGAACACTTCTTCAGTCCAGCTTCCTGACTGCCTCCATCTCCAGTGGCCCTTTCTCCACTTTTGATGGGGTTCCACCTTGGATCTTGTCATTGCCAGAACTGCTCCAACCCCCAAATCACCAGTTCAAACACCTGATAATAAAGCCCCCTCTCCTCCTTCCAGGAGATTTGTTCAACCACTACCACTGCAACTTGTTTTAGCCCTGTCTGGAACCCAGTCCACTGACTGCTCATCTTTCTGCAACTCACAACCCCCTCCTTTGTTCGCTTTCCTCTGGCTTCAGTTCAGATCCCATGGGCTTATCCTTTCAACTGCACTGCTATCAGCATGCTGGCGTCCCCGCTGCTGCCTGCACCCTGCAGCCCCTTACTGTCTTTTCATCTCACCTGTTGGTCAAGACCCCAAAGCTGGCTTAAGCCTAACCATCCCATTCCCCCTGCCCACACTCAAGGAGCTGGGGGGACTAGTCATAATCACCAGCCACATAACATTTCTGGGAGTCATATTTCTATCTCTACTTAGCTCACTTTCCTTCTGTCTAGAGCCACCAGTTTGAAACTTCCCCATTTTCCTCCAACTGCCAATACCCACCACCACCCATTCTCAGCAGATGATCTCTACCTCTCCACACAAAAATAGAAGTCATTTGGTATAAAATCTTCCTGGTCCCAAACATGCAAACCTACAGGGTTACATCCTCTCTTCCTCCCTTCTTTATAGCAGAGGAACTACTGTTCCTCCTAATCCCAAAGCTTGTGCTTTGAGTTTGAGACCCATCTCCTCCAGAAGTCTGAGGAACCTCACCCTTTTCTCGTATATACATATTAATACATATATATATTTTTTTCCCATCTCTTTCCCTTAGTTTGCAAAGTCAAGCCTGAGGGCTTTCAAATGCCCTCAGCCCAATTTAAAACTCCTCACCGGACTCACATCTTCACCACTCACACAGCTGCAGGAGCTGGACACCCACAGTCACTCCCAACACCTTGTTCACATTTGATCCACCCGAGTCCTGCCATTTCACTGCCTACGTTTCCTTTGAATCCTTATACTTCTTTCTGAATGTATGTTACCCCCTCTAATCCAAGGACTTGCATGTGCATTCCTGGAATGGCCTTGAACTGTTCCTCTCACATCTGCTCTGGACCCCCAGCCTACTCTCCACCTGCAGCTGGAGCCCCCACAGGCTGCCTGCGGTGCCTTGCTCTTGCCAGGCTCCTTTCCCAAGCGGACCGCACCTGCTACCAAAAAGGGGCTTCTCTTGATCCCTCTCTTTATAAGTTAAAAAGCAAAGAGGCTAAAAAAATTCTAAAAAGTATTCTACAAGTATCACCCAGAATAAACAAATGTTAGTATTTTGTCATATTTGCTTTAGATATGTTCTTGTTGATTTTTCTTTAATTTTTATTTTAAGTTCCGGGGTACATGTAGATATTTTTTTCAATAAGAAATAAGGTACCAGAAAGTTAGTTTCTCCTTTGTTCTCTCTTCACTTCTATCTCTTTCCTCCCTCCCCAGAGGCAACAATGATCATGAACTGAGCACATTTCCTTCTAGTCTATACGCTTTTTAAAACAATCTCTTATTACAGAAACTACAATATATAGTATTGTTTGGTCTACGTTTTTCATCTGTTACCTAAACTGGATTATAATGTATATAAATTTCCGATAAGTTGCAATGCTCCCCCCTCAGAGAAGCCTGACCTCCACAAAAAGTTGAATCGAATTAACCAGTCCACAAAAGACCTGTGCCTTTCCTGAGGGCATTTTTCTCAGCTGTAGTCTTGTTCACATGGTTCTACAATCACCATGGACCCCCCTATTCTTAAACTCTAAGAGGGAGTTTACGCTCGGCACTAGTTCCTTGGTCCCCGCATGGTGCCTGCCTGGCACACAGTGGATACCCAATAATTATCTGTAGGATGAAAACTTAAGAGCTTCCCTGCTTCTTTGCTCTTTGTTCTTCTGCAGAAACTCAAATTGTGTACATGTGAGCTCTCTTGTGTCTCTTCTACAACTACCACATCTCGCCTATCATTTTCATATTTTCAATCCTTATAAATCTTTTTAAGTGGTTTCCTTAAGGCTGTCACATGTTCCTACATCATGTATTATTATGTTTATTGTCTTGGTTACTTCTGAGGCCAGGGACCCAGGAAATGAGATAACAATTCACAGCTTTGATTTAGATTTGATGTTCCAAATGCTCACCAAGTTACTTCCTTTGACCTACATGCTTAAGTGTCTCAGTTTTTCGAGTACAGTGGATGTCCTAACGCAGAGTAAAGCCCCCAAGGTCACAGAATTTCTGCATCATAACTTGCTAATCACTGCTTCCCCTCCCCCTGCTAAGAGAGCTCCCATTCGGCAGTCTTCCTGACAACCAGAGAAGGCTGCGGTATAGCTCGCGCTCCTTCTGTCGGGCAGCTCTTCAGTCAACAACAGAATCCCTGGAGAGACAGGCTCAGCTTCGGTCATGGCTGTCACACCCCTAGATATCAAGGCTCTAGTTAATCTCTGGGTGGGCCTTCTGGGCCTAAGGCGGACACGTATTTAGAGCTTGGGTTTACCTTCATTTTAGTTTACATTTCAAGGCGAATAATTCTAAGTCTTTTTATTTTTGGAAGGGTATGGGAAAGGATATTGTGGCCAATTTCCTCCTTCTCTGAAGAAGGAATTTTTCCATTTGCTGTTTTCGGTGGGTTTCCAGACAAGGGTGTTAAACATAATTTGACTGCCAATTCAATTGCTGTTCTTTCCTTCCTTCCTAATAGAAACACTGATTTTGTTTGGGCTCCCCTAGTCCTCAGAACACACCTTTGCCCTGATCCTTCTAGCACATTATAGGCCATAATTTTAAAACACTGACAGTCTCTAGTTTTTTCATCTGTAAGAAGAGAGATGTGGATAATTGACAGTAATGCCAAAACTAAACTCTAAGCCTTTCTAAAACTAACCAGCTGTGAATGTTGGTAAGTCACTTAGCCTAGACTTCCACTATCACACAGGCTCACCAATGGCACAGAAACTGGCTGACCAGGAAGGCGTGGTTCACATGCCTGATGCTCCTCACCCTGCTCCCCTGCCACTACAGGATAAAGGGCCAGCAAACACAGTTTACGAAGCAAAGCATATTCTGTCTTCTTAAACTTCTGGTTTAGTTACCCATAAAGAGAGAAAAATAATAATTTGCTTGTTGCTTTTTTCCACAACTTTTCAAGATAAAGATTTTTTTGACATAAGAAATATATAGTGGGCAGGTGTGGTGGCTAATGCCTATAATCCCAGCACTTTGGGAGGCCAAGGCGGGAGGATCACTGAGCCCAGGAGTTCAAGACCAGCCTGGGCAACATAGTGAGACCCTGACTCTACAAAAAAATTTTTAAAAATTAGCCAGGTGTGGTGGCACACGCCTGTGGTCCCAGTTATTAGGGAGGCTGAGGCAGGAGGATCGTTTGAGCCCAGTAGGTTGAGACTACAGGAAGCCGTCAACACACCACTGCGTTTCAGTCTAGGTGACAGAGCAAAACTCTATCTCAAAAAAGAAAATAAATACATAGTATTTCAAAATACAGCCATTTTACACACTCAGGTCTTTTATATAGAGAATAACTTCTAACTCATTAAAATGATTTCTTGCAATATGCCAGATATAATATGTCTCATTCCCAGCCACATTCTTCCTTCTCTACTTCTACTACAGAGGCTGGAAAGCTCAACATGTGCATTCCCAGCCTCCATGGCAACAGTGAGGCCATGCAACAGGTCTGGTCAACAAAAGGCAGGGGAAATGTGCTGGGTGGGGTTGCCAGGAGAGCTCCTATTGCTCTGATAAAAAGGTCTGGACTTAGCTGGTAAGGTCTGTTTCCCCTTTTCTTCCCGCTTAGAAAGTGAGAGTGGTATCTGTAGGTGCTGCAGCCATCCTTAGGCAGGACACAGTACATGTTAAGCAAGAATGAATGCACCCCACCTACAACGATACAGTTTTATTATTTCATTAACCTGTCACATTACGTAATCATCTATGCATATACCCTAATGAATCTAACGTGTACTTACGATACATGAACACTATCAGATACTATGGAAAACAAGAGAATTTCAAGTTATAGCCCTTGGCTCATGAAGCTTTCAGTCTAATTAGGGCAACCTGAGAAAAGAGTCTCTGTTTAAATGTTAAACCATATAGTTCTAACTGTAACTGCTAAAAAGAGTTCAAAGAAGGTATAAACACAGACTAAAAGTTAAAACTGTCAGATAAAGCTTTCTAGAGAAAAATAAAACCTGAAAGTAAGCCTTAAATAGGCAGATAAAGTGGAGGAGGGGGCATTTCTAACAGGAAAGAAGAATGTGAACAGAGGTTAAAAGCACAGGGCACATTCAGTGTAAGTGAGAAGACAGGAGGTCTCTTTTTATGACAAAATAAAAATAGGTCTACTCCTGCCCAATCAAACTATTTACAAGTCCTCAAATGTGCCAGGTTCCTTAACTAACCCTTAACTCATCTTTTTAAGATTCAGCTTCCTCACTGGAAGTGCCTCCCAGACAACACAGCAAGCTTCTCTGCTGGCACCGAGCCCTCGGGGGCGTTACCATCTACCATGCCTAGTCCCACCAGACTACGAGTGTCTTGTTGATCTTCAACACTCCCAGAGCCATGCAAGGTCCCTAGCACATCCTAGGTATTATAAAAATGGCTGATGACAGACGGTTCACTAACATAGGACCATATTTTGATTCTACTTCTGGGCCATTCTGCCATAAGATGAACTATTCTACAAGTAAAGAATGAACTAGGTTAACGTTTGTCAAAAACTTCCAACTTAAAAACAATTGAGAATTTTTTAAATGTGGATTTCAGAGAAACAAATGTAATCTAATACCAGATGGAAAGACTCTGATTCAAGATCACCACCACCGCCCTCCGCAATACACACACACAAGCTATACTTTCAGGGATCATTTCTATAATTCATTACTAGAGAAGTTTATCTGAATATGTATGCCAACGCTGTTTGCAAAACAAGGAAATACAGGCTTACTTTTTTAAAAAAAGAAACAAAGAAAGAAAGAAAAATTCCTCCCCACTGCTTCTGACCATAAGCATTTTATGTAGATCCTCTTCAAAAGCGTCAATGTTGCAGTCGGGCTTCTCCAAGTCCTCCAGAACCTCCTGCAGCATGAACTGGTAGTACTGCTTCATCAGCAGGCCGCCCTTCAGGACCTCCTTACACTCTCTCACCAGCTGCAAAACAACACACACAGGTTCCAGCAGCCATAAACTCCAACCAGACGATCCGTGTTTTATATCTTCCTACTTAAATCTTCAAAAAACTCAGAGGGAACCTTGCCTCTAAAAAACCTACAATAGTTTCTAGATTCTTGATCAGTTCATTTTATGTAAATACCTTAGTAGTCTCAATTGAGAAGCAACAAAACAGTGAAAATAAAAGAATTTAATACTACAGCATGGATACACAGAGAAAATACCATATAGGCAATTACTGCTTTGCTAAAATAAATTCTCTTAACAACAAACTTATATAGAAAGTAAATCCCATAGAATAAAATCAATTTTTCTACTAATTTACATTACAAGAAATGTGAGAAAGAAAAACCTCCTAATGATCAAAAACATAATAAAGATTCAAAGGTACTTTTTACCACAAAGCAGGTGGCCTTCGCAATAATTTAGCATAGTTTACCTACTGTGATTTGTGGCCCAGTCTACCATCAAATAATGACCACCAAAACCAACCAACCGACTTAATATTATGTGATGGAATTAGATAAAAATCAACAGAAAAAAACAAAACAAAAAATGGGCAAATTTGCAATATATAGATCTAATAGGTAATAACCTGCCAAACGTGGGCAGAAGGTTGAAATGAGACAATCTGGAAAGCCCTCCCCATTAATAAAAAGACTGAGACACAATGTACGCAAATTCTAATAAACAGGGACTGTAATATGAGATCACACAGTCACATTCGTTTTCATACATGTTAGCCAAACCTTCACTGCCGCTAATGGAAAGGTAAACTGATACAAACTTTCTAGAGTCTAAAAATGTATGACTCATCTATATACTATTATGTTTTACACTCGAGAAATAATCAGAGATCTAAACTAAGATTTCTATACAAGCATATTTATCACAATGTTACTTAAATCGATGATTAACCAAATAAATTGTGATGTGCCTATACAGTAGAATACTGTTGCAGCCATTTAAATTCTTGCTTTTGAAAAATACTTACAGGGAAAAAACTCACACACACACATACTTACTTGTATGTGTAGGAAGTTATGTATGTGCAGGAAAAACAAATGGATAGAAATACACCAAAATGTCATAGCAGTTATCTCTGAATGTCAGAATAACAGGGTTTTTACAATTATTTTTGATTTTGATTTTTTATCTTTTTTTGTACTTTTCTAAATTTCTAAAATAAACATGGATTGCTTTTATTGACAGAAGTCTCTCCCAGAAATGTTTTAAAGTAATTATCCACTGTAAGAGAGCTATGGCTACAGTTAAATCTAACAAAAAGTGTTCTGTTCAGATTATATAATTATCAATTTCTCTATTAAAGATGTCACTTAGGTGCTTGTAACTGATCTTTGAATGCATTTAAACCAAAATTTCTGCTTTCTTTCTACTCTAGCAGTGCTACATTAATCTAAGTATTGTTTTTATTTTTCAAAGTATTACAACATACATTACTATTTAGTCCTCACAATAGCCCCATCAACAAAAGATAAACTCCACCTTGCTTTACCAGGCTATATTTCTGAAGTATTTCTTTCATAAAGAAGGAAGCTGAGAAGTATTTTCCCAAAATGTCCTAGATAACCACTGCGATTATGAGGATGAGTTAAAAGCAAGGCCAAAGTGGACAGCACGACAATAACCAGAAACAAGAGGGTGAGAAGGAAGGGGAGCTAACATGGAAACAGAGCTCTGGCGGTGCTGGGTATGAACCAAAGGGATGGAAATGAGATGCAGGGGACAATCTCCAAATGACTTTCATTAGTCATTCTATTCTACTCCTAATTAAACAAACAAATCCTATTTTGTACCTACTGTATGACCTGTATTCACCTGCCTTTCCTCAATCTGCACTGCTCACCTATGCTTTGTCTTACCATTCACAGAGCCGGGTAGCTCTTAGCCCTCCAATCCCTATGGGATAGACACGTACAGTCTACAAAAAACATACCAACCTTTCTTCTTTTGGGGACAAGGTCTGGAAATTTTTACTTTATATGGTGAATATCAATATGTTAATATCATAAATAATAAATACAGACCCTCTTCAGCACTCACTCTGCTGGATACAACTGCTTCCACCCATTCCGCTGCTGCTCCTGGGATATCAAACATCCGTAAGATCCCACCCAGAATGAACAACAACGAAGAAATCATAAGCTGTCACTACTGTTTAAACCATACCACTGCTTAAGCAAGCAGAAAGTCCAAACCCCTCCCCATGCCTATTCTAGACATTTATCTGTTTACATGTACTTCAAATAGAAAAAATAAATAAATTTAAGAATCTTATACTCTACCTCTTATGAATGAATTTTAAATTTTAGTCTTCAAAGACTGAAACTTTAAAATACTTAGAACAAGGAAGTGGATGACAGAAAGGATGAACCACAATCTTACCTTTGAGGACCGCATATAAAGAACATTTTTAATTACCCTAAAATATACAGCTTAAAACCATGGACAAACAGTCATTTTTCACTATTTGCGACAATTAAGAAAAAAAAAGGAACTCTCAAAATAAAAATGATAAGCCTGTAGGATAATATAATAATTGCTAAATATTTTAAAGAGTCTTTGAAGCAAACCTGCTTAATACTCAAGAGAGATGGTTCTCCAGCAGGTCTCTGCTCCAATCTTAACTTCAGACACTCATGTATGACATTCAGAAGGACTCGGCAGAGAACTAGGAAGGCAGGTTCGAATGAAGGTAAATCCATGGCCTTCAGCTCCTCCCACGACACAGCACTGCATTTCTCCTCAGATGAAGGTGGTGTCCTTGACAACTGCACATAATCTGAACCCCACATGGGATCTGGAAATTCAGAAAACTATAACAAAAATTCAACAGGCACAGATTAAAAGAGCATACGAGACAACGTTCTACGGTTGTGGTTATAAACTCTTATTCTCTACAATGTGCTAACAAATCTACAAAAATTCTAATTTTACAGGGAAAAGAATATTTAATAATTTAATGAATTTAATAACTTCAACATTTTCAACATAGATCCAAAAAGTTCTAAGAATGCTGGAAACCATAATGAGAACCAAAACCAAATTGCAATACTTTGATCAAAGAAGTATATTAGAAAAAGAATCAGGTTCATCTTTAACATTTTTGCCTCACACTTAAAATGATCAGAACACTTTATTTTTCAGGTTATATACAGTACTATCGACAACTATCTCTAGACTGGGAAAAAAACCAGAGAATTACTGAAATTAGAGAAAACATTACAAAATCAAATAACAGCTCATCCTAAGTAGCCATTTATGAAAACATAAAAACTAATCAGTTCCACTAATTCTTCTGTCCATTTGTTCCCCTGAGCTGTAATGAACGATGCTGACAGAAAAATTAAAAAATCGTTAAGATCAACCTGGTTGGCATGACTCAGTTATCCGTTTTGTGATGCTTCCCGGGAACCCTAGTGTTGCGTTGTCCGCCCCCACCCCCGTTCTTTTAGCTGTTCCTCTCAAATTCCTTACACCTTTCCCCATAAAGTAGGGGATCTGGAATGTTGGGAGCACTCTCTCTGCTCCTGGTCACTCCTCCCTGGCTCCCCAAGGCCCCTGCTTCTCCTCCCTTTGGTCCTCACCCACCTTCTCCCTGCTCCATGGGAGCTATTTCTCCCCTCCCCATCATTCCTCACCAGAACCCCTACTCCCTGCCATCAGAGTATTTCACACTCCACCATAACTTGGGGACAGAACTTCCTGAGGGCAAGGACTTTCACTTCCTTACCACTATACTAAAAGGACCGTCCCCACGCCTGGCACTGATTACAGCAGACAGTAATTGTTGCTGCATTCATGAATGATACTCTCATCTGACACTTCCAAGTGCTGCCCCCGACCTGCTCATCTACCAAATATGGCCCAAACAACTTGAGCTGCTATGGAAGACCCTCCATGACCTAGTCTCACCCTCCAGTGCTGCCTTCTCTCCTGCCTCCACGTGACACTCTCAACCAACCCTCACACACGTGTGCCATCACCAGCCTCGCTGCCCATGCTGCCTCCCCACCTGGAAATGCTCGCCTCTTTATTTTCCACTTCAAAATCCTTAGTTTTCAAGGTTCACCTCATGATACCTTTCCAGTGACTTTCTTCTCGCCCCCAACAGCATGCCACTAAAATACTCTAAACCCTGAGTTTACCTTGACTTTCATGATAGAGACGGTGTGGCTTAATGAGAAAACAACCAATGTCCAAAAATCAGAAAAGCTGGTTTTGAGTCAATTAGCGATGTGATTCTGGAAGCACTGAGTAGTCTCTCAGGGTTGATTTCTTCATTTTAAAAATAGAGCCATCAACTACCTCTTAACAAGATTAAACAGCATGCTGTACACATGGGAAAAACGCTCTAAAAACATACTACATATAACATTAGTAAAATCACTACTGTTAACATGTTGGTCTCTCCTTCTGGACCATTAGTTGCTTTACAGCAAATAGAAGAAGCCATATCTTAAGTCAGGTTTGCATAAACCCCCACATCTAGAACTGTCAGAGGACTCAAGGAATCACAAAGAGCCTCAGCTGCAGAGTGGACTAATTTTTACGGCTATTATCTTCTTCAAGATGATTCCCTGTTTCTGTGTTTTCCCATTTCCAACGGACAGCTTGGCTTTCACTAATTAATGCTCATTCATGGCCTTCCACACTTTTCTTTCCTTGAACCATACATGCAGACGTTTAACATGCTTTATCAGTTCTACTAAATACTCCTTAAATCCACCTTCTCCTCTACCCTCTGCCTTAACTCACAGTGGATCTTCAACTGCTTTTCTGATTACAACGCGTCAATCCACTGACCTCTCAATAACCCACAAAGTGATTTTGTTCCAAGGCTTGTCTTAGCCCTTCTAATTTAAAATGCAATGCTTCACTGACAGCCCTAAGTGTCAGACACTTTTATTTAGCCTAATGGCCAGGTCTCTGCATAGATCTTGATCCTTATCTCCTGCCACCACCTTCTTCTCCTTTACCCATAACAAACCTGCCTCTGTGCTTTTGCACAAATTAATCCCTTTTATTATCAGAAGTTCTGATCTGCAGACAGTGTTCTGTCCCTGGTGAACTCTTCCTCTCATTAGGAAGAAGCCCAGATGCCACCCTCCTCTATGAAGTTTTCTGTGATTGCCTCAAATAACTCATTTAATCTCTCCCTTTTCTCACAGTATTTGTGCCTTGCAAATGCTTCCTCTGTTGTATTTATCATGCTTTACTGTAATGCATTATTTTATCTATTTACCCATTAGACCATCAGTTCCATGAAAAAGATTGTTTATCTCCAGTTAACTATGGGTCTCTAAAACTTAGCTCGGTACTTGCCACATAATAGATGCTTATGTTTGATGAATAAATTAATAGGTAAATACTCCTATAAAAGTGCCAGTGTTTCTTCTTCCCCAGCTATTAACAATCTAACACTAAAGAATGGAACATATGATGTCATCAACCTTGTTAACAAGCTCTTAGTTCTCAAATTCCCTATTGTACTCCTAATGCCAACAGTAATTATGTTAGTGACAGATTGACAAGGTCTACAGTTTTAAAAGTGGATGTTTTGATTTTCAAAAAGAATAACATATACTTGGCATAACTGAGATACACTTAATGACAGAAACGAGGATATGCCTTCTTCTTAGTATAAAATTACCATCAAGATTAAACGTCTGAAAGGAAAAAATTCTTGTCTCTTAAAACACAGACGTTTAGTCTATTATAACCTGACATCAAACAATGTTAGTATATAACCACTAAAATATAAAGTTGGAAGAACACACCGTTTCCACGTAGTAATCTGCATTAGCACTAAGGAAAACAAGATTAATTTATCCTTCTACATTTAATACATACTTTTGCACTTAAATTAGTACACACCTGGGTTTCCCTAACAGGCAAGAATTTCTAAAATAACCACTAAAATAATTACTTGTAATAAATGTGGTCAGGGTTGTGAAAGGAAAACAAATCTTGGAGCCCCCAAATCATTAAGCTAAAGGGAAAAGTCAAGCTGGGAACTGCTTAGGGTAAACCTGCCTCCCATCCTGTTCCCTCTGCTCACTGAGATCGATGCATAAGGAAGCTAATCAGAAATTCAAAAAAATGTAACGTTTTGTCTCTTACCTACCTGTGACCTGCAAGCCCCATCCCTGCTTCGAGTTGTCCTGTCTTTCTGGATGGAACCAATGTACATCTTACATATATTGATTGATGTCTCATGTCTCCCTAAAATGTATAAAACCAAGCTGTGCCCTGACCACCTTGGGCACACATAGTCAGGACGTCCTGAGGCTGTGTCACAGGCGCACACATCCTTGACCTTGGCAAAACAAACTTTCTAAATTAACAGACCTGTCTCAGATATTCAGGGTTAACAGCTTAAGGTATGTGTAAGTAAAGGCTTTAGACGCTGTAAATGCTTCCCTCCACCGCCTCTGGTATAATGATATCAGAAAACAATGTTTATATAAAGCTCTATAAAATTCACCAAACTTTCTAAGATAAAATTCTAAATAATTCTTTCAGCATTCCAAACAGTCCCAGCCTGCTGACTTTGTTTACGGGCTCAATGAGCCAAAGGCACAATCCCTAGTTCTCAAAAAAGTGCAAGACCACATTGCCTGGGAGAGCCAACAGCCAGACCTCCACAGTCACAGAGGAACCCCCTTCCTGCTGGAGGAGCTTGGTATGTCAATACATGTCCAGACAGAGAGGAGCAGATGTTTCAAAAATTCAGCACTTCAGAGGAAACAGCAATTTCCTTAAGAGGAGACTAAAGGGAAGAATCAGAACAGCTGGGCTCAATTAATACCGATTTAATGTAGAAAACAGGAGAGAACAATAAAAATACTCTAATACGAGATCTCATTAAAGTCCTCTGGAAAATAATAAATTAAGACTTCTGAAATAAACTCAAGAAGACAGTGAAAATAGAATGAACACTGCTAAAACTGATTTAATAATCTAGAATTAACTGCAGAAATTATTACTATAACTCAGAGCAAAAAAAAAAAGAAAAGATGAAATGGAAACTTTGAGTAAAAACAAGAGACATGGAAGTCAGATCTAGCGGCTCTAACGTAAGATCAGAGTTCCATAAAGAACAAAAGGAAAAGGGGAGAAAAGCATTTGGCATAGTCAAAACACCACTAAGATGTAAAGCAGCAGCAGCCTCTGAATAGGGATGATCTCAAAGTACAATTCACTTACCTTCTCTAAAAAACTATTCAAAGTATGGTTATGGTAGAGTCTAGTTAAATGACAACTAGACTGGAATAAAAAAATCACAAGATAGGGAAAGAAAAATAGCAAACAAAGAGAAAAGCCATAAATTTAACAAAACTTATATAGGTTGCGCATCCCTAATCCAAAAACCCAAAATCTGAAATGCTCCAAAATCCAAAACTTTTTGAGCACTGACATGTTGGATTTGGGATGCTCAACTGGTATCCATTCTGCAAATATTCTTTTTTTTTTTTTTTTTTTTGAGACGGAGTCTTGCTCTTTTGCCCAGGCTGGAGTGCAGTGGCGCGATCTCGGCTCACTGCAAGCTCCGCCTCCCGGGTTCACGCCATTCTCCTGCCTCAGCCTCCCGAGTAGCTGGGACTACAGGCTCCCGCCACCACGCCAGACTAATTTTTTGTATTTTTAGTAGAGACGGGGTTTCACTGTGTTAGCCAGGATGGTCTTGATCTCCTGATCTCATGATCCACCCGCCTTGGCCTCCCAAAGTGCTGGGATTACAGGCGTAAGCCACCGTGCCCAGCCCACAAATATTCTAAAATCCGAAGAAAGCTGAAGTCTAAAACACTTCTGGTCCCAAGCATATCGGATAAGGGATTTTCAATCTGTATAGGCAGATACAACTATATGATGATAATTTGGTTACTGACTACAATTCGAGTTCTAGAATGAAATATTAAAAACACAATTTTAAGTACACTATAAAGAAAAGGCCTGGATCTTGCATTCCAAATTATTACAATAAAACCAGTGAGCGGAGAAAGGGACAGTGCAGTGCAGGAACACATATCTGTTATCATCTTATTCCAGTGAAGAGCACAGCATCAAACACAGTGTAAAACCCCAGATCAAGCCTAGCCAAACTAGGAAGATTCAATAATATAAGGACATGGATAAAATGCATAGTAAATTCTCATAATTTTATGTTGCCTTGGTATGCACTTTGAATCTAAGTGGAACCTTCACATAGCAGAAGCAGGGCTCTGTCACCCTTGACACAGGGTGCAGTTCTACACTGCCTCCCAGTTCCTCAATGTGGCTGATCCAGATACCTGCCTTATACAACTTCCTCCTAGTGACCACCTCCCTATGGACAGCTACACACAGACTGGTTCACTGGCCCTGACCCTCATACCTCTCATGGACAGTGCAGACACAGCACTGTGACTACCTCTGTAACAGCGTGACCTCCTGGAATTTGTGCCTGCTTGCTTTAAATCCACCAATTAAACCTTCCTGAGGGAAACCTGTTTGGACAATACCTTGGACTCCACGAAGGCATTGGCCCATGGGTCCCTCCCTCTCTCCCTGTCTGCACTTCCTGACCTCTGCATGAGCGGCCTGTAGGCGTGCCGTGTACCCTCCAGAACCTGCAAGTAATAAAATCTTTATTTCCATCTTGTGTCTCTTCTAATCATTGAAAGGGTGCTCTCCATCTTAGAGATTCTATATTAAGACCATGCAATGTAATTACAATAATAATTCTGATGTCATGTTGTGTGGATTTGACAAATCCATAATAAAGCCCATGTGGAAGAAAGTAATGTGCAAAAATAAAAACAGCACAGAAACTTCTGAAAAGAAACAATGGGCAACACTGTCCTACAAGATACCAAACCTTACTAATAAGCCTACTCTATTTAAAATAGAATAAGCCTGCACAGTAATAAACAGATCAGAACACAGAAACATACCCAATTATCTAGAATTTAATGTAAAAAAAAAAAGGCAGCAGTTTAAGAAGTTGGAAAATAATGGGTTATCTAATGTATGTTATAAGCAATTAACAGAAAAATAATGACATGCTTACCTCATACTATACCTCACAGTATCACAAGTATTCATTTCTAAAATTATGCAGCTGTTTTAGAAATTCTTACTGGTTATTATGGGAAATCAAAGTATGTATTAAACACAAAAATACATGTTGAACAATATATTTGGAAAAAGAAATTCCCAATGTAGTAAAATCTAAAGATAGAGCTCTGCATTAGGTTAAACTATATAAAAATTCCCACTTTCGTTCATTGAAAATGGTCAAATACTGGCAATTTAGTACAGGTCAAACTGAAAAAAAGAATTCTGGGAAAAAGTGGTGGCAACAGGGTTTCAATTTCCCTTCAACGCCCTCTCATAAAAATGGAGCAATGAGGACAGCAAAACCAAAACTCTGTGAGACAAACCTCCAACAAAACTAGATGAAAAGGGGTGGTCATGACTCCCCAAAGAGAAGAGGTGGTGGGAAAACCATGAACAGTTCCAAGAGCCATGTGGTATCAGCATTAGCGGAGGGAAGCAGAGGAAATTAACAGGGTGTCTGAAGGGCGTAAAGAGGCAATTCCCAAGTCATGATGAGTGCTCTATGAAAAGCTCACAGAGTCTACAG
This sequence comes from Homo sapiens, assembly GCF_000001405.40. NCBI lineage: Eukaryota > Metazoa > Chordata > Mammalia > Primates > Hominidae > Homo > Homo sapiens. The sequence continues at coordinate 161,063,795 of NC_000006.12, read as the reverse complement.
AGAACTTCTGTGAAATTAGGAATGATTTTGGCACTATTCATGAGTGAAGGCAAGGGGTTGGCAGTAAGGTCTGAAAGGGCTGGAGTGGTTTAGGCCCCATAATATCTTAAAACTAGTACCCCAAATTCCCTTCCAGGAATTCTCGGCTCCACATCGAGGAAAAAAAGTGAAATCCAACTCCCCAGTAAAGGACAACAGGAGGAAAGAGAAGAGGAGATCGAGAACATGGGAAGAAGAACAGTCCACAGACCTCAAACAATAACAGAGAAGATGGTTTGAAACTTGAGAAGAAGGTACTCAGAGCCCCAATCCCAAACACTTTCCTAACTCCCTCTCTCCTTTAAGTTCATGGAAACAAGTATCATGTTTAAAAATAAGCAACAGAAAAGAACTGTAGTAGAATCTAGCACAAGGTTACCATAAGCAGAGAGAGAAAAAGGAGAATAACCCTCCAGACAGTGAGCGCTTGCCAGAAAGATATGTCCACTAAGCAGATGAGAATTGTAGACCGATTTCTGAAATAAACTAAAAGAAATTAAGAAAATCATAAAAAATATAAAATAATGACAAAAATTAGAATTAGAAAAAAAACCTCAGTGATAGAACTCAGAATTTAATTTTTTAATCAAAAATCAAATCAATTTTACGTCCCAAATCAAAAACAAACTAGAAGGCACATAAGAGCAAATAAACAGAACAGATAATGCCTTCACTGAAATGAGGTCAACAAAAGAAAACTTTATAACTCAAAAAGAAACTAAGAAAAAGAAAAGATCTGAAATGAAATGACAGAGAAGACAGGCAAAGTAGATCCAAAATATATAAAGAGCAGTTCCCAAAGAGAACTGAGTCAGTGAAGCAAAAATGTGAAACTGTAAGTTAAGAAACTCACTAGAAATTTAAAAAACAGACTGACAAACAAACAAACTAAACTATTTATTCAAAGTGTACACCATGTATCTGAAAATATCAAATTGGAAAAACCAACACTGTAAAACTAGTAGAGTTTAAAGAAAAAAATCCTTTAGGTATTCAGCAAACAAACAAAGGTCTTGTAAATGGAAACAAAAAATCACATTGTCATCAGACCATTCAACATCAATGCTTCCTGTCAAAAGAATGAATAACAAATTTATCCAAGGAAAGAAAATATAAACCAAAGATTTTATGGACAGCCAAACAAACTTCCAAGTATAAATGTTGCAAACTGTTAGAAACATGGCAGAACTCAGGAAATGCTGTCCTCCTGAGCCCTTACTCAGAAATCTACTAAAGAACAGGTGTCACTCAACCAGAATGACTCAAGAGACTGGGATATAATAATTAAAAATGAGCCTTTAAACAAAATCTGAAACTTCTATCTACATGTCTATTATAAATATTTTATCTATCTACACACACACAACCCTGAAGAACTGAGACTAAATGACAGCTATGGGGGAGAAAGTACTGTCATACACGGCTGTATGATTGATAATACAGATATACCACACCACCACCATCTGGGGGAAAAGAAAGGGCATATGAAATAACTTGGCATTTCACTGGCAGTAAAAGAAAATTACTTCAAATGAAACTTTAGAAATAAAAGGATAATTCCAATATAGCTCAAAGTTGGGAACAAGCAGATTAAAAAATTGAAGAGGGGATATTAAGGGTGTTATGTAAAGATATTAATACAAAGACATCTTGGGGGAAATAAACTCATCTTAAACATTAAAAGTAAATAAATAAACAAAACTACATACTTCCAAAAAGGTTACACTAAAAAACAGAAGTATAAAACATAAAATGTTTTAAAAGATTAACTATCCCTGTCAGAGAAGCTAAACTTCTTTGAGAATACATTTAGATTTTCTTGTAAAACCAAGTACTTCACATAATTCTTATAAAAACAAATTAAAAACCAATACCTAAAAATAAAATTTTAAGAAATCTATGAATAGATCAACAAAACGTGGTATAGCCATACAATGGAATATTATTCAGTCATAAAAAGGAATGAAGCGCCAATACATACCACAGCAAGGATGAACCTTGAAAACATTATGCAAATGAAAGAAGCCAGTCTCAAAAGACCACATACCATATGACCACATTTATATGGCTAGGCAAATATTAAGAGACAGAAAGTAGATTAGCGGTTGCCTAGAGATAGGGCTAGTGAGCACAGGAATTGTGGAGGTGACAGCTAAAGGGTACAGGACTTCTTTTAGGGGCAATGAAAATGTTCCAAAGTTACACAGTGAGGATGGTTGCAGTGGTGATGGTTGCACAACTCCAAATACAGAGAACCACTGAACACTTTAAATGGTGAATTTTATGCTAAGTGAATTATATCTCAATAAAGCTATTATTTTGGAAATAAAGTAGAAAAAAGAATCTAACTGTATATCTAGTCAGTGGCAGAGCCACGAGAAGAAATGTTCCAAAAGTCTTTAAAATGCAGTTATCTGATGTTACATCCACAGAGGGTTATAACCTAAGGATGGTCAAAAACAAAACTTGAACTGTTTTCCAGTAATCACACTGAGATGATTGTCTATTTTGGAATATAGTCAGTATCTGATATTCTGTCACACCTGGTATCACAGAACATTGGGCTTCTCAATAAAAAAAGAAAGGTGGTGATATATGGATTAAGTCAGAAGAGATTAAGCAAAATTCTCAAATCCTGAATTTGAATCAGAACTATCAGAAAGGACATGTGATGCATTTTGTGTATGTGTTTTCATCTGCCCACTAAACAGTAAAACAATGACCAGCCACAATTTCTGCTGCAATGAACAATGCTGGGGTACAGACAGTGGTCTTGGAATATACCATTTCTCAATAAAGGGAACTAGGGTTCCTTAAAAATGTACCTGATTCTCAGTGGCCGGGCGCGGTGGCTCGTGCCTGTAATCTCAGCACTCTGGGAGGCCGAGGCCGGCAGATCACTTGAGGTCAGAGTTTGAGACCGGGCTGGCCAACATGGTGTAAACCCGTCTCTACTAAAAATACAAAAAATTACCTGGGCGTGGTGGCGCATGCCTGTAATCCCAGCTACTCAGGAGGCTGAGGCACGAGAACCACTTGAGCCAGGGAGACACAGGTTGCAGTGAGCCAAGATCACGCCACTGCACTCTAGCCTGGGCAAAAGAGTGACACTCCTTCTCAAAAAAAAAAAAAAAAAAAGAAAAAGAAAACAAAACATATCTGACTCTCAACCTGGAACAGATATACAATGTCAGCCTAGGATAGCCAGTTACACTAAATAACATGGAAGCTATCAAAGGACTGTGAAAAAAGGAGTCAAGCCAATTGAATATGTTCCCATTGTCCAAAGATGGGACGTGAACATTAATTACAATAATTACTTCAATACATTAATGACATCCATGGATTGAAACATACCAAATATGTTTAAATTCATGAGTTCAAAATCATACTAATAACACTAATTAGTCATCAATAAACCACATCATTATTTTAAAAAATAGTAAATAAAAGGTAAAGAATCAAGCACATTAATCTTGCCATTTGTGTCAACTATTCCACTAAGTAACCATATAATAGGTGAGGAAAAGTTTATCCTTATAGCAATATCTAATAAATGAAATGAATAATAAAGAAGCTAATAAATGAAGAAGAAATGAGAGAATTAGAATATCCTCACTTTTCAGCCCTTAATGTATTAAGGAATCTAGGCAATGTTCATCAACTACTACTAATGGCACAAATAGTCAGATATGTGTGTGTCCTGGGAAAGTAGTGTTAATACAACCAACCAATTAAAAAATCCTGAATTTGATCAAGCCACTCTATTTTACAGCCAATTCACAGAGAAGACACAGAAAATAGAAACATGTGGGGCAACTGGGATACAATCATAAAAATTCAGACCCTACAGGATAAATGACCCTGCTTCTTCATATATGGCAAAAAAAAAAAGGCAGGGGGAATCTACAGACTAAAACACTTTAGAAATATAATGAACAATGATAACACATGGACATTATTTGCAAACTGATTCAAAGTGTAAAAAGAAAACCATGACAATTATAAAATTTTAAAATAATCTCTGAGTACAAATAAAATAAGGTAGTCATAAAATAACAACAGACATGACTATATAAAAATGTGAAATTTCTATACAGTGTTAAGTATCCTAAACAAGTTAAAAGGCAAATTGAAAGAAGTATTTACAACCATCATAGAAAAATGAATAAAATTCATAAATAGTTCCAACAGATCAATAATAGAAAGGCAGCCTAACAGAAAATGAGCAAAATAAATAAGCAAACGAAAAGACATGCAAATGGCCAATAAACATGAAAAACAGGCTCAGTGTCACTAGAAATGAAGAGAAAGATTTAGGTCGGGTGCCAGTGGCTCACGCCTGTAATCCCAGTACTTTGGGAGACCAAGGCAGGCAGATCACTTGAGGCCAGGAGTTCGAGACCAGCCTGGCCAACATAATGAAACCCCATCTCTACTAAAAATACAAAAAATTAGCCAGGTGTGGTTGCACACGCCTGTGATCCCAGCTACTCAGGAGGCTGAGGCATGAGAATCGCTGGAACTTGGGAGGTGGAGGCTGCCATAAGCCGAGACTGTGCCACTGTACTCCAGCCTGGGCAACAGTGTGAGGCTCTGACTTAAAAAAAAAAATCAATCAATCAATGAAATAACATTTTTTGCTGATCATGGTTATAAAAATGAGGAAAAATCAAATTTCTCCTGCACTGTTTTAAGTATAAATTAGTATAGTCTTTTTGGAGAGCAATTTGGCAATACATATCAAAGATGTGAATGTGCATATACCCCATGACCTAACAATTCCATTTCAATTAAGCATTCTTACAAAAACAACAGAATAAGTTCATAAAGGGGTGTGTACAAGAATGTCTGTGGCTACATTGTTTACACAAGCAAAAAAATTACATTTCCATCAAGAGTGAAATAATTAAATAAGTTATGGTACATTCATAGAATGGAATATCATGTAGTTGTTAAATGGAATTTAACAACGAGAGCTATATATATATATATATATCTACAAGGACAGATCCAAAGTAGACAACACGGGGGAAACCCTTCAAGTTGTAGTAGGATTATGTATAGCATTATCACATTTGTTGTAAAAAATTACATGTGTTACATAACAAAGACATAATTTATAGAATCACAAAAAACTCTAGAAAATATAAACCAGATGATAATTACTCTGAGCAGTGACAGAGGACAGGGACTTCAAAAATATACTCCAATAAATAAAACAAAAGCATACTGTTTTTTAAAAAAGTGTTAGATACAAATAGCCTTTACATTACCCTTCAAAAGTCAGTTTCTGTGATTCTATACTGGGATCCTATCACAAACTGCAATTTCTACACAGGCCCAGTAAGTCATGTAAACAGGTGTACTTGGGTGGCCATAAGACAAATGATGGATACTGTGGTAACCTGGAGCCCTTATGCTGCTGGTCATGTGGGAATGTGGACCCAGTGTTGACAGACTTCCCAGTATTTCTAGGAAAACCCAAAATCTGGATTTTCCCATTTAAAAATATTAGACACTAAGTCAAAAAAAATATTTAAAACACTGTGTGGGACAAAATGTAACTTTGGGAGACTGTACACTGTCAAGAGCATACATGGCTTTACAGCCAGAGCTCTGGGTTCATATCCTGGCTCTGCCACTTTCTAGATTTGTGACCTGATCAAGTTACTTAGCCCTCTTCCTTGCCCCGGCATGTAGCGAGTGTTCAGTTAATGCTAGCTACTAGTCTTCTCAATATTACTATTGTGCTGTTGTTATCACGGGATCCAGTTCTCAGCTCAAAGTTGATGACTTCTATCCTACCTGTGATATTACATCAGTTTGAGTCGGTTTGCTCACTATAGTCCAAAATAATGTACACAACTTCCTACTTTCCTTTGTATGTTTGTATGTTTAAGAAAACAGAAAACCTAAAGGCAAATGAGCAAGTATGTGCTTGTTAGTGTGTCATTCAATTACAAAGTTCTTGTAATCTTATGAAATCAGACAGGGAATGATTGAAACAAGTAATAAGTTAACTCTAACAACTGTATTAAGCAGCATGATCTTAAAGGCATGGGGCGGAAGAGCACTGGAGCCTAATCAGTGTTTCCAGTGAGTACCAGAACTACACTGTTGCTGGTCTAGCTTCACGTGAGGCACACAGGAGGTTTGTTTACAATGTCAGTGCTCGTGTCCCCCACTGGGAGATTCTGACTTGTCCTACTCTCAGAATGGCTAGGCACACGTATTTTTAAAAGCCCTCTAGGTAATGCTGAGGTGCAGCCAGGTTTCGAAACCATGTAGGATAAAGTCTGGTATCCCAGAATCCTGAATTTGAATCCCTCTAACAATCTATAGCTCTGTGATTTTTGTGAAAGTTATCTACTGTACCTAAACTGGTTTCTGCATTTGGAAAATGCACCACCTCACAGGGTTGTTGAGTCTGGAACACTGTGAGAGTCAATAAATGGTAGCTGCTGTTATTGATTTCCTAGTTTCTACATGCTTTGTCTGCTTTGAATATAAACGGCAACCTCTTCAGTGTTTCCTGTGTGTACAGGAAAAAATTAGCACAACTATTGTTAGAATCCAAACACAAAGAGTATTTCATTGGCCATTAAATTTATAATAACTACATGATCGTTTCTAATTCTAAAGAAAGCAATTAAGACAGTAATCAAAACAAAAATATTCCCAGTATTTGAGGCAACAAAGTCAGACAATTATACATTTTGTACATTACATTACAATATATTCATCTTATTCTTCTGAAAATAAAGTTCATAAGGAAATCAAAAAGGAGGAGCACAAAATAACCATATTACAGTATTTTGTATTTAACATTTTAAATTGCACAAAACCCATAGAACTATATATTACAGAGTGAACTTTAGAGTATGCACATTTTAAAAAGTCAATCAGGATTTTGGAGGATCCCAGGATGCAACGCAGATGAAATAAATGAATCTAATTAAATTACAAAAGTATGATACCACCTCACTGAGGAAGGTGAAGGAAAAAGGTGCTGACCTAAGTTACTTTGGAGAATAGTGTTTTGACTATAAAAGGCTAAAGACAAAAGGAACTTGACTGAAACACTACACCCTAGTTGATAAATTTATTCCTCACAGGGGTACTGGTTAGCAATTCTGAAACTACTTTACACGTATGGTAGGGTTGAACAAACATGTAATTAATTGTAGTAATGGTAGCCAGGTTTCTCACTATAAGAGAAGTAAGTTACAGATAAGCAAGGGAGGAAAGTCGGAATGAACCTTGTGCTGAATCAGAGCGAAAGACATCAGTATGAACTCATGATTATTTTAGATAGGGAATTATAAATCTGTGTGTATACACAGGTTAGAAGACATACCTGTACGTTCTAATTCTATCACTGAGAAGGCCTAAAAGCAATGACACCCCAACAGCACCGAACACACCCAGTGCCCACATCTTCATTTCTAAATACAATTATCCAGTAAAAGGAACCAGAGCTCCTTGGAGAAATGGCTGATCCTAGGACAGAACGAGGGAAAATACAAGACAAGCCCAGAGCATCTTGTGGTGCCAGAAAGTAAGAAATGATTCAAAAAGCAAATCAAAAGGAAAATAATACAACAAAAGAGGGGAGCATATCAAACGACACAGAAGGCAACTGAAAGAGCTCCAATGGGCTAAAACAAGAACAGCCTGAGCAACAAAATCAGTAACAATGGTACTGGATTATAATTCAAAGTAAAAACAACAGCAAACATTTATGAGTCCATACTGATATAAATGGCCAAATAAATGAGAAGAAGCAAAACTTCCATCTGGAGAAATTCCAAATAATACATTAGATACTCCCCCTTCCAGGAGGTAGAGATTAATTTCCCTCCCCTTGAGAGTGGGTTGTGTGTGGTGACTTACTTCCAAAGAATTGGAGTATGGAAAGGAAAAAATAGTAACTCCTGGAGAAACCTAGCAGACACCACCTTAACCAAGTGATCAAGGTTAACATCAACAGTGACAATGTAATGCGACTAGGGCATTTCAACTCTGTGGCATCCATTCCCAAGCCCCATCACCCCAGTCTAATCATGAGAACATATCAGACAAATCCAGATTCATGGACATGACAATTAAATGCAATGTGGTGTCCTCGACTGGTTCCTAGAACAGAAAAGGGAATTATTAGAAAAAGTGGGAAATCCAAATAAAAGTCTGTAGTTTAGTTAACAGCACTTTGTATCAATGTTAATATATTAGTTTTAACAAATGTATTGGGTAAGTGAGAAGTCAATATTAAGGCGTGCTGGATGAAGAGCATATAAGAATTCTGTACTATCTTTGCAAATTTTCTATCAATCTGATATTATTCCAAGATGAAAAGTTTGCTCTAAAAAATACAATTGTATGCAGTAGTTTTGATATTAAGGATAAATCTTTTATATATGTTTACTTGGTCTTAATTTCTAAGCTAAATTGAACTGTAAATAGTATTACAAAACCCATCCTTAGCTACAGTAACTGCTGGGAAGGACACCTGGAAACTACTGGACTGCTGAGATGACTCTTGTTAACTTTTAAGCAGGGTTGGGAAGGGTCACCATACAAGCACATCTAATGAAAGAGGAGCAAGAGTTGGAGGCAAGACAATCCCTGTCATTGAGAGACCATGATACATTATGAAATGGCTGATACATTCATCCCTAAGACCCAAGATCAACAATACTCAGACTAGAAGAACTGGTATTACAGCAAGGTGGAAAAATAAGTACAAACAATAAGATCCTGGGATGTTCTAAACAGCAATGGAATAAGAGAAGAAGAAGATAAATGAGAAAATATAAAAAAGATCTTGGATTGTATCTGGGTCCACAAATGGATATGGGGGAGGGTAAGGTTTCCTCTTATTTTTTCCCATCATGGTAGTCCTTACAGCCAGGATAAAACTGCAGCTGGTATTATTAGTTCAGTTACATGGATTTAAATAAGTTTCATTTGATAATCTGAGACTCTCTTATTTACAACACTGTTTCTATAGATAAGTATTTTCAAGATCCCAAACAACTGCCTATTCAAGTGGACTCTGGAAACTAATCCATTTGTTTCAATTAGAGACTGCCTATGTAACTAGAAATGTGTCCTGAGGAAATCAATTTACAGAAGGTACAGAGCTACAACTTCATATAATTTTGAACAAATCATTAAAGGCATTTATGGCATTCATATTATGAAAACAAACTGCAAACAGATTTTTTTTTAGTATTGCTAGTTCAGTTCTTTTAAAATATTTTGAAATATTAATAAAGTTTTAGAGAAAAATTAGTTTGGGCCGGGCGCGGTGGCTCACACCTATCATCCCAGCACTTTGGGAGGCCAAGGCGGGTGGATCATGTGAGGTCAGGAGTTTGAGACCAGCCTGACCAACATGGTGAAACACCATCTCTACTAAAAATACAAAAATTAGCCAGGCATAGTGGCGCATGCCTGTAATCCCAGCTACTCCGGAGGCTGAGGCAGGAGAATAGCCTGAACCCCCAAGGCAAAGGTCTCAGGGAGCTGAGATAGCGCCATTGCACTCCAGCCTGGGCAACAAGAGCGAAACTCTGTCTCAAAAAAAAATTATTTTGTAAAGCATGCTTACAAAGGGAAATTAAATGTAAGATCACATGTGCTTTGCAAACACTGGTTATAAGTAACGTAATCAAAAAATATATAAAGACATAGATAAGAAAAATCAAACATCACGTGTATTTCTTCTTTTCTACAAAATCCTTCACCTATATTCATTCCTATTATCACGAAACCACAAAAACTGCAAAATATGCATTATGTACAATCTGTGGTACCTTGTCAGTTCAGATATTTTAACAATTAAGAACAAAAACACTAGCCAGGCGCAGTGGCTCACGCCTGTAATCCCAGCACTTTGGGAGGCGGAGGCAGGTGGATCATTTGGGGTCAGGAGTTCAAGACTAGCCTGGCCAACATGGTGAAACCCCCGTCTCTATTAAAAACACAAAAAATTAGCCAGGCATGGTGGTGCACGCTTGTAATCCCAGCTACTCAAGAGGCTGAGACAGGAGAATTGCCTGAACCCGGGAGACAGAGGTTGCAGTGAGCCGAGATCTTCCCATTACACTCCAGCCTAGGAAACAGAATGAGACTTTGTCTCAAAAACAAACAAACAAACAAAAAAGTCCTCAAACCTAAAAGGTTTTACTGCCTAAAATGTATGCCCTTAAAATGTACAATTATTTGGCAGAGGTTAAAAGGCAGAAGATATCTTAAAAATAAAAATACAGTTGCACCCATATGGATTTACAGTTAGCTTCAAGGAAGAAAAAGTAATAAAACTTCTAAAAGTTTATGGTTGATTTGTAGAGCATTTTACCATTTGATAAGATGTGGATCTGTGTCCCCACCCTATGTTGAATAGTAATCCCCAATGTTGGGGGTGGGGCCTGGTGGGAGGTGACCGTTTAGTACCATCCCATTGGTGCTGTTCTCATGATGGTGAGTGAGCTGTCAAGAGATCTGGTTGTTTAAAAGAATGGAGCACCTTCACCCTGCCCGTGCTCCAGCCATGAGAAGTGCCTGCTCTGGCTTTGCCTTCCATCATGACTATAGCTCCCTGAGGCCTCCCCAGAAGCTGATGTTGCCTGCCATGCTTCCTATACAATCTGTGGGACCATAAGCCAATTAAACCTCTTTTCTTTATTAATTACCCAGTCTCAGGCATTTCTTTATAGCAGTGTGGGAATGAAAACACCACTTACCGCCTATCTTTTTCAGCCTCACAACAACCACCTTGTGAGGTAGGTAAGAAGGTAGTATTATACCCACTCTATAAATGCAAAGGCTTCGAGTCAGAAAGATTCCTATCCACAACGTTCTATGGTAAGAAAGGGTCACAGTGAGAAATGAAACCCAGTTAATGGACTTCAAAATTGTGACTCTTTTCCTGACATACCAAATAAAACGACTAAAACAAACCTGGGAGTGGGGGACTGTACACATATTCACACACATACACACACAAGCACGCACACACACACGCCTCCCTTTATAGAAATTATGTTCCTAAAGTGGGAATAAAAATAAAATCTTACTTTCCCACTAAGTTAATTAGAATTGTAGAGCCTTATCTTTTGTTAGTTTGGATTAATCCCCAATACTGAAGAAGTCCCACTTTCGCTCTCTGTTACTCTTTCATTATCTGATGAACACTTAGCATCTTATGAACCAAAATTTAAAACAACAGGGGCTTCTGTAGTTCATTTTTTGAAAAGCAAACAACCTACACAAAATTCTAATAAAGTCTTTCAGTTATATACCTTATAAACTTTGAATTCGTGTTTCTTTTCTTCTATAACAAAGATGACCTCTTCAGCGAAATCTCAATTGGTCAAACCAAAGAACTACAACTCAGATGAGAATTCAGAACTCTGGGGAAACTATTACTGTCTTTTTTCAACATGAGTTCTAATATAAGATGTAGGGCACGTGTTCTCAATCTTTTCTTGCTATAACATATCTAAGGGATACAATCCTCATTAGTAGCAATAGTTAATCACCACGAAGAGCCTGGAGAGGAAGGAAGACAATTTGGGGAGGGAGGGTGGGTGAAGCAGTTTACGGAAGCCCGACATGTCCAACTCACCCCCGCCCCACCGTGGCCTCTTCTCATGTGCTGCTCTCCTATAAGAACCACTGAATTAGAGGTGAGGTTATACAGTCGGCCCTCTGAAACCCTGGGATATGCATCCGCAGATCAAGAATGTTTGAAAAAACATTAAAAATAAGAATACAACAATAAAAAGTAATACAAGCTACTCAGGAGGCTAAGGCAGGAGGACTGTTTTAGCCCACGAGTTTGAGTCCAGCCTGGGCAACGTAGTGAGATCTTGTCTCTAAAACAGTAATAGTAATAATACAAACAAAAAAGATACAGTATAACAACTATTTACACAGCATTTACATTGTATTAGGTATTATAAGTAATCTATAGATGATTTAAAGCATACAGGAGGATGCACATAGGTTGTATGTAAATACTACACCATTTTATATGAGGGACTGGAGCATCCAAGGATTTGAGTGTCCATGGGGGTCCTGGAACAAATCCCCCTGGGATGAGATACCAAGGGATGTTGGTACTGCCAGGACTTTTTTCTTCACTCATGTTACTTCAAAACCAGTGGTCACAATACAAATTAAACATCAATCCTGTCTTACCAACATATGTCCTTAATGAAATTAAACCACTCCAGCCATTCATGTTTAAGATTTCTAATCAAAATAATATTCAAAGTAAATCTCTTAAAATATAGCTACAAAGCACTGGTTCATGTTGTAAACATCTTCCTGAATTTATGTGAATGCTTAACCCGTTCCTCCTAAGGGCTCATAATCCGGCTGTCAGAATAAAAAATTAAAATCTTGCAAACTCAAGTTCTCTTCAGGTGTTTTCCATAGTTTCCAAGTTGTTTATCGTTAATGAATTTAAAGCAAGCCAGGCTGTGTAAAAAAAAAATGAAGTTAAAAAAATAAAAATAACAAGTATATACAGTTGGCTCTCCATATCCGTGGGTTCCACATCCATGAATTCAACCAACTGCAGATCAGAAATATTTGGGAAGAAAAACTACATCTGTATTAAACATGTACAAACTTTTTTCTTGCCATTATTCCCCAAACTATACAGTATTAACAACCATTTACACAGCATTTATATTACATAAGGCATTACACATAATCTCGAGATTAAAGCATACGAGGTTGTGCATTGGTTATATGCAAATACTGCATCATTTTGTATGAGGGACTTGAGCATTTTCGGATTTTGGGATCCGTGGGAAGTCCCAAAACCAAACCACCTCTGATACCAAGGGGATTGTACATATGTATGTATACAGCTACTAAAATTCAGAATCACAGACTTAACACGGGTATAAGGTATTTCAAAGATTTGGGTTTCACTTTTAGCCAGACGAACATGCAAACTCACCAGAAAAGCAAAATCACTTGTACAGTACTATTTTGGACTCTCAAGAATGATATCCCACAAAATGCCCTTGTCTAGTATTACCACCCTTTACAATAAGGAATTTATAACACGTCAAGCTATCAAAAGCAAATCTATACTGTTTTCAAGTCACTTCCTCTAGTGGGCACATTCCTCTCACAAAAATCTACACATATCGAAACACATATCTGACAAAAATCAGGACTTCCCTTAAACTTTCATCACCTGCACCGAACACTTTAACCTTGCGAGATAGTGTTGGCTTTTTCCCCTTGATCATTCTGACATTTCTCTATAATTTACATCTCTTTAAAATACAGTGACCAAAACTTGACATGCTAATCAAAAGAGAGAAAACAACTTCAAAGGATAGAGAAAGAACTCTCTCCTTGACCTTGGGCGCCCTATTCATTTATAAACACCTGAGTGTGACGTGGACTTTTTTCCTGACTCACATGCAGCTTGTGGTCATCCATGACTATGGCTTTCTTCCTTCCATTTTTGTTTATACCCAGCCTGTCCTTTGCCATCCTGTATTTACGTGGTTGAACTTATTCCCTCCACATACCACCCTGCACTTAATTCACTAAATTTCATGCAGTTTTCATAGATCTATTTAATCATAGTACTTTACAGAAATGCTTAAATGTGCAATTTATAACTGCCATTTGTGTTCAAAAATATTAGAATATGAAAGTACATAACACCAACATTATAATTTGCAATAAATAAATGGAACTAAGGATATCATTGTATTAATACCTACTGGAAACCTACCTCCACTGGACGATCGTTCTTTACCAATGCTATACGTGCCCTTTGCAAGGAACCATCCATTAGCTTGTGAAGTCTTAAAATTAACTTTCTTAACCCCATCTGCTTCAGTGCTTTGTCTACAAATGGTCTATAAATAGAAGTCAGACAATGTCTACTAAAGCCTGCTTCTGTGCTCCAGTCTGGTGCTCCCCAGCCAAGAGAATCATCCTCAGATTCGAGCCTCTCAAGCTTCTTGGATATGCAGTCCCGCGACTGGATGTCGAAGCTGTTATCTATGGGCTGTCTGATTTCCGGTACCCTAGGATCAGAGATTTGTTCTTCTTCACTCTCATCCGTACTACTTTCCAACTCCTTTAATTCTCCTTCTGTGTCATCACCCTCATACTCCGGCTCATTACCTTTGGATGGTCGAGGGGAAGGGATTTCAAACACTGGCCAGCCAATGTCTGATAAATTCTTGATGCCCAAAACAGTGCCCATAATCCTTAATTTCTGATTTAAGTCTTTTGTGATGTTTAACCACAAACAGAGTGCCTGCACCCTGTCCTGGAAGTCTTTTGCAGCATATTTTTCATAGTCCTTCTGAAGAGCCTGCAATGATGGATAAAGTGCTTCTATGTACTCTAGCAGCTCCATTATCCGTTTTACCTGCTCAAATGAGACCCTCTGGCGTTGGAGATGCTCATGATGTGTTGAGTAACCTACAATCTTTGTTCCAGGAGTGGCTTTGCACTGCCCTTCTACTGAAGTACCATTAAAACCAGCTCTATCTCTAACAAAGGCGAAGCTCCCATAGTCGACTTTGAAAGTAAGGATTTCATTAATAATATCTGGGATGGCTTGACGGGCTGTATATAAAAAGAAGTCCTGGTCGTTAATTGTCCGTCCTGCATGCCAGGCTTGTAGCTCTAACCAGATCAGTTCGTTAGATCGGTTAAGCCAGAAACCAGACGTATTTTCTTGTCCTCTTTGCTCCCTGTCTTTTTTCTTTGAGACTGAGGTAAGCTTTAGCAAAAGTCGTAAAGTTTCAAAAAACTTTAAACGATCTGCTGGACAGTCAGTCCTAGAAGTCTGGCGTGCAGGTCTGGCTATAGGCATGGGCACAGATACTGGAAGCTTAGCATTGCTACAGCCAAGGCTGAGGTAAGGCTTATTGAGATCCACATCTGGAATTGATTTTTTTGGCAAAGATCCACCCACTGAGTCTAACATGAATGAGCACTGTACATTTTTTTTACGATCACGCTCTGTTGTTCTAAGAGCTGCTCGGATCTTTTTCTCCTGCTTATAGCTGTATTCTTCCACATTCTCCACTGTTTTTCCAGTGTCTTTATGTGGAGGCTGATTTGGTGCATTCATTTTTTCTATTAAAAAAAAAAATAAACAGAACATTATATAACTCTAAAATATGAAGCTACTCTCAATATTTTCAATAAAACTGGTATTCACACATATTTATATTTTCAGACTGCTAATGGAAGAAAAAAAAGCATACCATATCCTAAAAATTAAAGGAATCAAAAAATATATATGACATTTTCTATATTTTAAAAAAAATTATCCATTTTTCCAGTATTTGCTGTATTCTCTTATATTCACAACTAATTACCTAAACTAGCTGTTTATTTCTCTCTATGCTACAAAGCATAGTTATCAAATCATTTAACCAAATTTCCGTAAGTAATCACCTTCAATTTAAGGAGGAAGAAACAGCATGGGAGATCTGACGGACACCTGGATGAGAAAATATATTTAATTCCTGCATTTGTCATTAGCTAAATGTGTAAACTTAAGAGGAAATCACGTAAATTATCTGGATTACTTTTCTCATTGATAAAATTAGGCACATTGATGCAAGAATACTTAAGGCACCCTAAGATTATTCTCATAAAAAACTGAAAGACAGTTGACAGACAAAAACACTGACGTTAGTTTATTCTATTCCTTTATTTCTCCTTTGCCACAAACAAGTGGGCAATAACATTTTAAATTTAAAATTAGCAAGACTGAAGACATATAGACTAATTTGGTATAATTTGCTTAGTATGTTATACTGCCATGTAAAATCATTTACAATTAATGCGAAAAAAGCAAAAACCACCCACTTCCTTCAAACATCTAGAAGAGGTTCTATAATCTGATTCCAAGCTTTAAAATGAACACACATACATCCTGTATGGCACTTTTAACACTATTAATTGCTCTACGTTACTGAAATCCTTTCATTCTGTTGCTTCTGGGTTCTTACACTTCCTTAAGTTAGTCCCTTCTTTTCAAATACCTCCTTGGAGCTTTGCTCACTACATAAAATGTTAATGTTTCTCCAAGTGCTAATCTTAGATCTCTTCTCCCTGGGTGATCTCATTCATTTCCACATCATATATCGATAATGCCCAAACCTATAACGCCATCTCAATCTACCCTCTACACTCAAGGCATAGTTTATTTCATTGAATCTAGGACACACATTTTTTCATACATTAACATCTCTGAAATTAGAACGTTATATATAATCAATGATGATATAAGTAAGTTTTAGGGACATATTTGCCAATATTTTTCATTTACATTTTTCTTTTTTTCTGAGACAGGCTGGAGTGCAGCCTCAACTTCCTGGGCTCGAGTGATCCTCCCGCCTCAGCCTCCCAAGTAGCTAGAACCACAGGCACGCATCACCACACCCAGCTAATTTTTTTTTTTGGGTAGAGACAGGATCCCACTATGTTTCCTAAGCTGGTCCCAAATTCCTGGGCTCAAACAATCCTCCCACCTCTGTCTCCCAAAGTGCTGAGATTACAGGCATGAGCCACTATGCCTGGCCCATTTTTTTAAACATATATATATATATATATATATATATATGCATAAGTGAAATATATATCTACATATCAGAAAGTATAAAAGATCTCTTTAAATAAATAAAAATTCCAATTATAAGAACACACCATCAATTATAAGCTGTTTTTACCTTAGAATATATTATAATCTCTTAGTATATATTTCTTATATACTAAGAATTTTATTATATATATTAATATAATAATTATACTAAGAAATTATTATATAATTTTCTTAGTATATAATATCACCTAGTTTTAGGTGATTAGTTGGGAATATATAAGAGATTAGTTGTGAATGTAATATCTAAAGACATATTAGTATATCTTCAGATTTGATGGAATAGGGTATATTTACATGGGTTACAAACCAATATACCACAAACCAAGGCACCAATGAAAATTTGCTTAAAACCAATTTACTTCCTAACCGATTCAAATTAGTCTTAAAATAAGGATTTTTAAACAAATTTCCCAAAGAGCACTTATAGCTTGGTTTTTCTTATATTAAACTTGCCTTAAATTTACTTTATGATCCATCAAAAAAGGTTTTAAACCAATCTGTCCATAGAGATTTTTTGCTGTATTTTAGTATACAAACTACTATTATTATTATTTTTTAAATTTAAAATTTTTAAGATAGAATTTTTATCTTTAGTACTAATCTACTTCTAAATGTCTTTAAACTTTTCATATAGTCCATTTAAGAAAATTTCTTCACAGTTTTATTGTTTCTAGCTATAAATGCTTATCAACTCTTATTTATATAAAAAAATTGCTTAGACCAACTTTAATTCTCTTGCTCTGATGCGTTTAACTGTGTTTTTTATACCTTTATTAACAGAGCACATACATACTATTTGGTTAACCCATGGTATTTTGAAACCAAAAATGACCAGTGCTTCCACATTTAACTCCACTATATTTTTCAAGATAATTCATATTATACTTTATTACTGGGAAACACAAAATGACATATACATTGTATCACTGTGTAGGACTGGAGGTAAAGAAAATGAGTTCAGTTTCTAATACACTGAATTTGACGTGCCTATGGGACATACACGTGGAAATATCTATAGGTAACTAAAAAAACACACATGTTGGGCTTAGGAGAGAAATCCAGAGAAATGGATTTGGAAATTATTAGTATGTACAGATATTATTTAATATCGTGATAGTAGATAAGAACATCCAAGAAAAGTGTGCAGAAGAAAGGCAATGAAGACCTAGAATAGAATGTGTATTAACTATTATGTACACCCAAATAAATGATTTTGAGTCAAAGAAAACAAAAAATTGTGAAATAAAAAACAATCTTGTTGGCTCAGGCGTTGGGCTTTTTAAAATACTTTATAGAACTAATGTGGTGCATTATTGATAATGGCCACAGACTATCTGCATACAATTTATAATTGGAAAGTAATAGTTGAGAGTGAAAAAATATTACTTTTCTTATATAATTTATTCAAGTTCTTCTAATCTATGATTGAAAGGTCCTAAGTGAAAACTAAGGATTAAATGACTTTAATAGTCCCAGAAGACTGGCTACAAGCATTATTCCAAATCTGTGCTACACTTACCAGGGGCAAAACATGAAAATAATAACAGATGAAGCTTCTCACCCTAGACCTTTATTCCAACAATGAAAGCAATCTAAGAAAAAATGCCACAATCCCATTTTTCCACATAAACATAATCTCATTTCAGCAAGCCTGAAAAAGTAACTTTTATAGGTTAAATACAAATCTTGTTAAGTTTATCTCACAGCATACAAAACAGTCTATTACACAATTTTTTGAAATTTTGTGTTCAGATAAAGCAATGGTTTAATATTTGGACCTACATAGTAGGTTTAAGGAAAAGCAAATTGGGAAAGGAGCAAGATGGGACAGAGAAGCTTTTTGTTCCCCCCCACCCCAAAACAAAACCCAAGTTGGTTTTGGAAAAATATACACAAAATATAAATTCATACATCTTAGTTTAAATAATGACGCAATTCGAACTTAAAATAGACAAACTCGTGTCTAGCTACTGTGCAAAAAGGATATACCAATTACTCTACCTCAGCAGTAGCTACATTTTTAGAATAATATACTTGTGACAGAAGGAGAGGGTGATTTGGTTTGTATATTTGCCCCCTCCAAATCTCATGCTGAAATGTGACCCCCAGTGTTGGAAGTGGGGCCTGATGAGAGATGTCTGGGTCATGGGGGCAGATTCCTCATGGATGGCTTAGTGCCCTCCCCACGGGAACCAGCCAGTCCTCGCTCTATTAGTTCATGTGAGAGCTCTCTCTTGTTCCCTCTCTCTCCATGTGACATGCCTGCTTCCTCTTCACCTTCCACCATGAGTAAAAGCTTCTTGAGGCTTCACCAGAAGCTGAGTTGATATTGGTGCCACGCTTGTATAGCATACAGAACCATGAGCCAAATACACCTCTTTCTTTACACATTACCCAGTCTCAAGTATTCCTTTATAGCCAACGCAAAATGGACTGACACAGAGAGTAAATCCAAGAGTGCTTTCTGGCAACTGATGACCAGTTAGGCCTCTATAAAATCATAAGGGACTTATGACTTAAGGGAGATCTGAGAACAACACTAGGGTGTTGGGTGCGGGGGTAGTCTATAGACTTAGTCATTTCCCTGAGCATTTTTACATTTTGTCTTTACCCACTCTGACATGACTAAGGAACTTTTTAATAACAACCAAAAGCCTATTACTGATGGACAGGTGTGCTTGTTTTTTGGTTTCCTATTAATACTAAATTCCTTTGCAATTAACAAAAGTCAAATGGAAACAGAGCAGAATTCTGAAAAGGAAAATGAATAAAAAGTACAGGAGTTAGCTATATAGAATGTTTTATTTGGCAAGTTCTAATTACAGGACTACAAAAATAGTTCTTAATAACTTGATGAATGGGACACCTGATCTCCCAAGTGACTATAAATGAAATGGTGTGATTTTTGTAGCACAATTAAAGCAAACCTCTGGAACACTTTTTCCTTTGGCCAATCACCAATAATTCTGGTAAAATCAGAAGAACATAAAAATTTTTTTAAAAGAAAACTTTATAATGAAACTGAAAGGAACCAATGACAAGCAATATGGTTCATCTGACGGATATAAGACAAACAAATGAATTCCCACCATCTACAACTAAAAATGGCTCTTTAGAATATGTATTAATTGTATTTTTAATCAAACTCTTGCAATTTTTATGTTCTCCCATATACATATTGTCCAAATTTTAGAAACCAGCCTTATTTGAGCTCTCAAATGAGATGTAAACAGATGGATAATCTTTAAGTATGAGATGATCTTCAGAGTAATGATGAACTAGAATACCAGACAAGTCAGCAACCTGAAGGGACTTAGAGATCATCTAGCTCAAGCTTCTCAAATTTCAGTGTATGTTCGAAATCACTGCGTTCCTGCTAAAGTGCACGTATCTCTGACATGGCTACAATGGCTCCACATTTTGAGAAATTGCTTTATCCAGCTTCCATTTTCCAGGTAAGGGCTTCACAGACATTGTCATAATTTTCGTAACAACATGATGATGAAGATTATCACAGAACACAGATGGTTAGACACATGGTTAATGTCAGAACAGGGGTCCTAGCCCAAGTTGGTGCCACCACACCATCCTTGGACTTGTCAAAGGTGTTTGCAAGGCAGTACCAACTGACCAAGGAAAGGCTAAGACAGCGAGTACCACAAAAGATTACACAGGCTAACTAGTCTGTAAAGGCTTAAAGTAAAAGCAAGTACTTGATTTGGGGCCTCGAAGAATGGAAGCTTAAATAAGGGAAGTAAAGAAGGCAAGAGCATATCTGAAGCCAGCAAAGAAGAGACACAAGGGCAGCAAAGAAAAGAGTGTGGCTGAACACTGAGCCTGTATATGGAAGCCTGGAAACACAAACCAGGACCCTGAAAGT
Source organism: Homo sapiens (assembly GCF_000001405.40). NCBI lineage: Eukaryota > Metazoa > Chordata > Mammalia > Primates > Hominidae > Homo > Homo sapiens. The sequence continues at coordinate 161,043,198 of NC_000006.12, read as the reverse complement.
CAGGCTAAGTTTAGACTAAAGAGCTGAAATATGGATTTAAATCCACTCTGGTTGACACAAACATTTCACTAGCTATATAGATTGAATCTGATTTGTAACCATTTTACCAGCTCCATTTTACATCAGTATGATATTCTTTAAAAAGCAAACATTCTAATTTCACTACTGTTAGCAGATACACACATTTACACACACATATATATAGGCACACGCATGCATGCACACACACACACCTTGAGATATTTCCTAACAGGGATGTGTGTGTGTGTGTGTGTGTGTGTGTGTGTGTGCAAATTCTCATATAAATTGCAAAATATTTGCTCTACTTCTGTAACCCAGCTATGGCTGATGACCATCCCGCTATGGCAGTGCTAGAATAGAAATGCAAAATGAAGCTGACAATGATCGCCCAGCAATGCCCTGGAAAGGGTTTTGGCTTGGGTGTCTTTTAAATTCCTATTTCACCTACTTAAACTATGAGATAAACTGAATGTACTTCCTTCTGCTATATTAAAAAGAAAACAAACATTTAAGGAAAAAAATGGTTTGACTGTCTCTTAAACCAACCTTAAGAACAAACAGTTATATTTGACTAAATATTGTCCAAAACGTATCAAAATCTTAATTGCTATAAATTGGTAATGACTACCATTATCCAAAAGCATAATCTCAAATAACACCGCAGCTAGCTCCTGTGGTGTTAAACTTAACACTCACCACAGTATGAAATCAAGCCTGTTCACTGAGTTCACTCGAGTTTACCTGGTAGGTTACATCAACTGGGACGTCAGATAGCAGACTTTCAGGTAATGCAGAGCTAATCATCCTTACCCAACACTCAAACACAGTCTTTAGATAAAATGCCTTTTTTTAAACTATCATATAAATTAAGAAAGTTTTCCCAATAAGACAGGAATTTTCAGCTTTTGGTGAAGGCTGGGCCATGAGATGCAGCAGCCATTTTGTAGTACACAGCCTCTTCTCTCCACTGTTCAAACATACACTAACATCCTGCTGCTAAGAAGGGACTGTGTAGATATAATTCAAGTCCTTAGCCAGCTCATTTTTGTTTAATCAAAAGGGAGATTTTCTTGAGTGGGCCTGACTTAATCACATAAAAGCCCTTTAAAAGAAGGCCTGAAACTTGTGGTGGTGACACGCACCAGGAGGGTCAGCTACTCTGGAAGCTGAGGCGGGAGGATCACTTGAGTCCAGAGGTTCCGGGCCAGTCTGGGCAACATAGCGAGACCCCATCTCTAAAAAAAAAAAAAAGAAAAAAAAAAAAAGAAACAATAACTCAAGGCCTTTACCCTCCCTGAGAGCATCTGCCTGTCCATGGTTGGAGTCTGTCCACCTTCTGTCCGTCTGGTATCACAAGTAGCCCACACCTGAAGTGGAGATACCAGTTTCTGCTCGTCAACTCTCTATGTAACAGCCACACTGGTCTAAAAGGTCCAAGACAAGGCACTGGGCTTAAAGCCCTGCACAAGCTGTAGTGGGAGTGGCTGCACAGGGCAGCCCCACTTGAGGCCCAAGTGCACCTGGGGGCCATGTCCGAGGCATCAGGAAGATGATTTCCTGTGCTCCTGAAAGTCACCAGATCTAAAGCTGCTGCTGCAATGGCCGTGGTCCTCTCTGGAGCCTTAGCCGACAACAGGCTCCTGGCCCTACCCTTGCCCCCATACCAGCTGAGCCCCTAGAGGCAAGTCCTCCATGCGACAGCCCTGCAAATGGCCGTATCTCAGGGGTTCACTTCCTTGCTCCCTCACAGATGCCTGTGGGCTGAGGGTCCTGGGCCTCGGCAGGGTTAGGGGAAGGACCAGGGATGACTGGCAGCGTAGAGATGCCAGTAGCCTGCACTCCAGCCCCCAGGGGCTCCTGTTAAGAGATAGTTACCCACAGACAGGTGCTGGGAAGGCATCAGCGTGGTCAGCATTCATGGATTTGCCGATAGGTAGTCAGGTTGGGTCCTGAGAAAGTGAATCCTAGAGCTATATGTTCCTTGGGCAGGTGCTGGAGGTAGGGCTGGTCCTCCTGCTATTCCTTGGGCTGGAAGCCACCAGGCCCTCCTTCCAGGGCAGCAGTTCTAGCTCTGCTCCACCTTGGCCTTCTCCTACCCAAAGCCTTCTCCTACTCACACTCTGGACATGGCTGCTTCACCTTCTCCTCCAGGTGGCTCCCAGGCTTCTGATTAAGCCAGCCCGTGGAAGACAATCTCCCTTTCATTAACTCAACATCAACAGGTTAGGGAGGTTAACTGCACCTGCAGAACCCACTGGCCAGCAGCATGCAGAACAGTGTTTGATCAATGGGGAGAAAGTGGGTGGACCTCACAGGAGTCACTGCCTCCCTTCTATCCCTATTTGCACAAAGATAATATCCTCTTACTGAACAAACTTGTTGACATTTATGACCTTTTAAAAAGTCTTTTCTGTAAAACCAGCAAATGTGGAGTTGGGGGACTATCTCTGTTCTTGGCTAGTGTGGAAGAGACCTTGTAGCCTTTGCACTAATTTTGAATTTGCTATGCATCTGATGGCTTTATCCTTTGAGTGCAACTCATGTCAGGATGAGCAGTTTTGTTAAATTCATGGTAAATGTTATCTAGGTCAATGCTTCTTAACCTTATTTGGGTCACAGACTACATTTGCGAATCTGATGAAAACCATGGACTCCTTACAAAAATGCACACATGCACATAATAAAATCTGCATTCAGTTTCCAGGGACCCACAATCCTCGTGATTGCAATATAAATAGGGCTTTGATAACTTTCTTTGATTCCTCACGTTTTCTAAATAGTTGCATTCAATTAAATACTGTGATTCAAGTGAGACATTTCTGAAGCTGTATATATCTGTGTGTGTGTAGGTTGCACACACACCATGTAAATGTCTATATATAGTACTTGTATGTAGCCTCATATTTCCAGTAAATTTCATACTGGCCTTATGCATTCAACCACAATCCCCAACTATATTCTCCTTAGTAAAGATAAATATAAAATGAGAAATAGGCAAATTTAAACAGCTAAACTGGCAGATTTTTATATTACTAATACAGAAAATACAAAGAAACGAGGTATTCATACATTGTTGGTAGGAGTATCAAAATGAACTGTCCTTTTGCAGAATGACACGCACAATATCTACCAAATTAAAACACACATACCATTCAATACAGCAATTCCACCACTAGGTATCTAATCTACAAAAATACTCCATATATGAGTAAAGATAAATGAACAGAGATGCTCCCCGCAATAGTATTTTTTGTTTGAAACTATGGAAACACACTATAGGGAACATGGTTATAATGATCCAAACAATACCTTACTTTAAATGTCCTTACACAGAACAATGGCCTCCACCTATTACTAAGTGGAAAAGAGCAGTTATATGTTGGATGTTCTAATTCAACTAACTTTGTAAAATTCCATAATGCTGTATTTATGGTGTGCATCTCTCTTATCTTTACAAAACTAAGAGCTTATTTACAGGCATTCTTCTTAGTACCAATGTTTTATCTCTAATTTCTCCTGTCTATAACTTCCCATTCTAACATGTCACTGGTAATGATTTGCAGGAAATTAGCACTATTATAATTCCATCAAATAATTTCAATGAGTCAATTGTCTAATCACACATATGCACCACAATTAGGGCTATCAATTTTCTCAAGATCTGAATTTACAATTATAAAAAACAAATACATGACAATAGTAGCTACTCTGAGCCTACAGAGGTAATAACATTGCAAGAATCATACCTGTATAATCAGTTCATGAGCATGGCTACCATAGCTAAAAAGCCAGTATTGCTGGTTCTTATCTCTTCCTCTAAATAGTCCCCTCAGTTACCTTTCTGAGTCCTTACATTCCTTCAGGGATGTACTTGATGTTTTTTTTTTTTTTTTTTTTTGCATTTTTGCGGGTTCGGGGCTAGGGGAAGCAAAGACAGTATGACTGACCAGATTCTAATTCCCCAAAGCTTTACAATGAATGCATGTAGCAGTTAACTTCCCAAAGTAACCTACAAACCCGACCTGGTACCGCTGCCTTGAGCAGTCGCCTCCCACAGTGAATTTGGGCCAGCCTCATGGAACTAAAAGAACACAACAGAAGTGACACTGCACAACCGCGGAAGCTAAGGCCTAAGAAGGCCTGCGATTTCCACCTCAGTCTCTCAAAACACTGGCTCTGAGGAAAGACAGCTGCCGTGTAAGAAGTCCAATTACCCAAGGACCACCCTGGGCTAGCCATGAGGAAGATCACATGGAAAGAAAACTGTGCCAGCAGCCCTCAGCTGTTCCTGCTCTCTCAGCCCAAGTGAACAGACACATATGTGAGTGAGGGAGCCATCGTGGATGTTTGACATCCAGCAGACACTATGCAGACAAAAAAAATGAGGGCTCAGACTTAGGGCCCCAGCCAAGCCAGGATGTTTCCAGCCAACTGAGCTATTCCAGCCAAGGCTCCAGACATCCTGGGACAGGGATGACCTGTACCCTGCCTACACACCTGAACCACAGAATCATGAGCAATAAAATAATTGCTCTTTCATGCCATTAAGTTTCACAGTGGTTTGTTACACAACAATAGATAATCTGAAAAATGCAAATGTTATTGGTGACTATTTAAAAGATGAGTCCAACTCTGACCGCAGTTCTAAAGTTAATAGTATGACTCAGAGATCCTTTGTCTGTTGCAGTGAGAAAGAAATAATGTAACAGTTCACATTTCCTTGGACAGCTTTTTAAATAAATCTGACCAATCTAATTAATTCTAAAAAGCTCCTCAAAATACTGAGGGGGCCAATATATTATTATGAGTCACATGCTAGTCTGAAATACTAGTCTTCCTGACTCAGCTTTGAGGTCACAGCACAAATGTCACTTGTTCCAGAAGTCTTCCCAAGCCCAGGTCTTCTCAATACTGCCTCCTGTGTGCATCCAGATGAGCCTGTACTGTTGGTCATTTGTGTACTCCCTACTTGACCTGGAACTAGGTCTTATTCATCTTCCAAAAGAGCACATGCCTATGGAGTCACTCAAATGCTGATTCAATGGAAAGAATGGAGGAGAAATAAGGAAAGAACAGAGGGAGGAAAGGAAAAAAGGAAGTGAGGAGAGAAAGCGTGAGAAAGGCAGAAGAAAGAAAAGAAAGGAAGAGGATGAAAGGAAGGATGGAAGGAAGGAAAGACAGGCAACAGCAACAGTAACAAAAAAAATGTACTAGCAGCATTATGTAGTGAGATAAAGCGAAGGACTAGGAAGACATACAAGGAAATGTGTAGTCCAGGCAGGACAGAAGCAGGAACAGTAGCTACACGACTTGAGACAATCATTTAATCTAAGACTCAGGGTCCTAAAAATGGGCACACCATTTAATAAGGATATGTCAACAATGTAATTATTTAATTTTGCTTTAAGATTTAAGTCAAGAAAAAAAGTAGTAAGTGTTGGGAAGAAATCCTGACTTTACAACCGGTCATGGTTGCTCGTGCCTATAATCCCAGCACTTTGGGAGACTGAGGCAGGTGGATCACCTGAGGTCAGCAGTTCGAGACCAGCCTGGCCAACATAGCGAAACATCGTCTCTACCAAAAATACAAAATTAGTCGGGCATGGTGGCGCATGCCTGTAGTCCTAGCTACTCGGGAGGGTGAGGCAGGAGAATTGCTTGAACCCAGGAGGCGGAGGTTGCAGTGAGCTGAGATCGCGCCACTGCACTCCAGCCTGGGCAACAAGAGTGAAACTCCGTCTCAGAAAAAATAAAAGAAATCCTGAGTTTACAATAATAATGATGATAACTAATACTGAATACATAATCCTAACAACACTATAAGGCAGATGATTTTACAGATAGAGAAACGAGATATGGAGGCTGCATACGCAGAAGATAGCGGAACCAGGACTGGAGTCCGGGTGATCAAGCAACCAAGATTCTGCTTTTGTCCACCATGCTGTGCTGCAATAGTCTGAGAACAAATAAATTCTCAAAGACTATTAACCACCACAACCAAGACTAAGACATTAAAATGGCCCACTTGTCTACCACTGGCGTCCCATTTCCACCTTGTCTTGGTATTCATAAACAAGAATGTCCGCAAGAAATAGTTCACCAGCTGGCATACATGTGAAGCCACTTTCTAATATACATGTGACTGAGACATTTAAAATTGAAAGCCGTAAAACTTCTCTGAGCCAGTTTCCTCAGCTGTAAAATAAGTACAGGTTTAAAGTCCTTTATCTGAAATGCTTGGGACCAGAAGTGTTTTGGATTTTGGAATATTTGCATTATACTTTCTGAGTAAGCACCACAAATCCAAAAATCTGAGGTTCAAAATGCTCCAATTAGCATTTCCTTGGAGCATCATGTCTGTATTCAAAAGGCCTCAGACTCTGGAGCATGTAGATTAGGGATACTCAAAATTTGTATTATATAAGACCAACACCTCACTGGGTTATTACATTATTCAAAAGATAATTCTTTTGAGGTGTTAAGCACAGTGATTAACCGATAGTAAGCACCCAGTAATTGCTAATGATAACTGTGAAGATGCTGCTACAAATGATATAGCAGCCATTTAAATTAAAAGTACAGGCTATTCTGTGACAAAAAAAGTTCATAAAACATTAAATTTAAGAAGCCATTATAAAATAGTAAAGATAGTACAGCATAAACATATATAGCAAAAAGCTAGAGAGTCTGTAGTCAGGCTTTTACAAATGGTAAAAGAAGCTACTTTTGTGTATTAGGTTTAATGGGTGATTTTTATTCTTTTGTCTGTATTTTCTGAATTTCCTGCAACAAACACATAATCTTTTGCAATAAGAAAAATAATAACTTATTAAGGATTTTGGTGTCCTGGGTCTGCTATCAGATAGCTATAAATCAAAGGGTCTGTGAGCATTAGCTTCTTCATCTGAAAAACGGCAAGAACTTGAGCAAATGATCTCTGAGGCTCCTTCTGGCTCTAAAATTCTATAATTTCATAAAATAAACAATTTTAAAAATTGTGGAAGAAAAGGGCCAATCCTTTCCTTTCCCTCTATCTCTCGCACAGACCAGCAGGACAACAGAACCTCAACAAACATCTAGTGACTGGCTGTCTCACTGATTAGTGAAAGACCATAAAGTCAACTCAAATATTGCCTTCGGATAAGCGTAAACACTGTTGCTTGTACTAGGAAAAAGTCCAAATAGAGTACCAGGAGAACTAGTGGTACAAATAGTCCTGACACTATCTCAAGCCTTCTGGACTTAAAAAGATTTGCTCTGAAGCCCTGGGCCTCAGTTTCTCAATCTATAAAATGGGGAAATTGTGTTCTCAACTCATGTTCTAAAATAGTATGAATCAACAAGAAAAAGCAAGTGTACTACCGGCATCTTCTTACTTTACTAACACGAAGCAAATATTTATTAACTAATGTTGATTCAGTAGATGCTACTTCACTGATTCCTACCATAGATAAGAAACTTCTATAGTCATTTGAGAAATTTCTTTGAGAAAATGTACAATAAATGATTTTCAAGATGACAAATTGCAGTGGGAAATTTCCAAAGGGGTAAGTACAGGCCACAGGTTAAAAAATTACAGCAAATCAAATTTTATAAGAAGTATCTTATGTGGAAAAATCATTTGTGGGAAAGACTCTTTCCTGCTTGGGAACTTCCCTTGTATAGCATCTCACTCAAGCAAATCAACACAACAAAACCCACTTCTCTTGCCCTCCTGCTCTCTTGAGGAAGGGCTCTGATGGGAATGCAAAGTGAAGATGCCACTAACAGCCATCAAAGCTCAATATATGGAAGAAATCTACAGAAAGAGGAAGCAGAACAAAGAGGAAGAATGAACACAGACTACAGAAAGGGAGAGGTAGAAATGAGTGTGAGGTCAACAGGAAGAAATTTCTCAGACAAGATGAAGACTAAAATCCGCATCTCATGCAGTAATAGCTGAATAAATTCCAGGAATATATGGCATTTGTTTTAGGACAAGTGGTTTGCTGAGATTAACAGGTAAATTCTAAAACCACAAGATTCCAGGCCATCACGTAGGGTACAAGGAGGCTGCAGCGCAGTATCGTTCAATTCATCTACCACAAAAAAAGAACAGTTACGTCCCACTAAAAGGAGGTTGGGGGGAAAGAAAAAGCACGAAACTCTCCGTGTCTAATAGAGCAATATGTGGACTTTACGATCCTAAATAAAGAGAAAAGTAGAAAGCAGGTTCTGTCATGGTTGTTAGGTGTGGGGTCACTGTGCTTAGTATGAAAAAGAGAGCCCTACACACTAAAGATAGCACCCCGGGGCACCAGCAGAGAGCAGAGGGAATCCAGGGGAAGACAGCCTGGCTCTGTCTCTCCTCAAATCCCCAATACACCACTTCTGGGCAGAGGAAATCTAGAAACTTCAGCCTAAGAGACTGAAAGAATAGAAGGCCATCTATCCCATGTAACCAGTTGCCATCTTGTATTAGTACACTGGGAAACATTTGCCCTCTTTCACTTCTTCAAATGCCCGTGCATTGCTGGCTTTAACCATTACTCAGGACAAACGTTTCTATCTCTGGAAAACTATGTGTCAATTTTATTAATACTAATGGTAATAATTCAAAAAAAAATTGAACTTTACAGGAGCATTAAAATCAAATTAAAAATAAAAGAAATTGCTAACTTTATTGTTGAAAGAATCAATCAAGTGCCATACCCTCTCATGTACACCTCTTTTCAAGTACAAGACTCACCTTTCAAATTAGACCGACTGGCTGGCCTCCCCACATTATTCCTCTGATGTTTGGTTGACATGCGTTTCATCTGTCGAGGTGTGCTGGGGGGAGAGGTACCATAAAGATTCTCTGTATTTGTTTCATCGGAGAAGTCTTCTAGATCAGATTCAGGACTCTTGCAAGCTGAATCTCCCAATGTGCCCTCTTGCCTATGAAAGACAGTGTGCAGGGAAAATATTCAGCAACACAGTTAAGTGAATTCAAATTTACTTATAATTTTTTAAATAATTCTTTGTAAAACTTTTGTACAGAAAAATCTCTTCAGCACTGTGCTCCTCCTCATTTTTACCTGTGAAAACTCAAAAGGAGAACTTTTCTTTTGCTTGAAGAGAGTAATAATTGTGACTGCCGCTTCTCCTACCATGAACAAGGAGTACCACATGGGTAGAGCTGTTATGCTTTCTGTTTCTCTTGTTTATAGAGCTCTTTCTAACACAAATGAAATATAGAACTAAAAACTTACGCCTTAAGGAAAAACCAGCGAAGGACTAGAAGATACAAATCAGACAGAACTAAAAATGTACTTATGTGCTAGCTGCTGACAGCTTAATTGATGAGTGGGCAAGTTCAGTCCTGCTCTGAACTTCAGTGCCTCGCCTCTTTCTGTCTTTGAAACACACAGAAAACAGAATGTATAGGAGCACTTTGCTATGATCCACACAGCAAAGCACGAAGTACCAAGAAAGTATGGCAGGTCCATTTCCTAAGTTGTCTGATAAAAATTACAGTGCAGACATTATGTATGTATTTAATACCACTGAACCACTTGAAAATGATTAAAACATTAAATTTTATCTTATGTGTATTTTAACACAATAAAAAATTGGGAAGAAAAAAACCACAGTGCAGAACTCAAGGTGCAGGGGAGAAGGATGATGTAAAAGAGGAAAAACAAAATTGTTTCTTTTCACCTTCAAAATGCAATTTCTCATTAATTTGTTCTCTAAAAACACTGCCTGCCAATTCTCTATCCCTGGCCAACTTCTCAAATAATATCACTATTTTGACAAAGTTCAATTTCTCAAAGCTAACAAAATAAAATTTAATGATACAAATTGAGAGCAAATACAATTCTTAAAAAGTGAAACAGAAGGAATCAATCATGAAATTCTTTCCAAATATGTACCATCACAGTCTACCTCTTTCTGAACATTTATAAAATATGCTTTATATTTATATAAATATGCTTTATATTTTATAAACATAACTCCAAATTATATCCAGTATATAATCCATTTCTTCCTGGCAATTCATATCTTGATATAAAATCAAAGCTATTTCAAAGTCATAAGGGAAACAGAAAAGCTACTCTACAATGTATGATCCCATTATTACTGAATTAGATTGACAAAACTGCAGAAAATAAATTACCTTTTGAAAAATAAAAATATTGCAGAATTATAAAAATTTACAGTACTGAAATCTACAAAAGATCCCTAATAGGTCAAAAACTGATTTTTTAATAACTGCATTTTAAAGACCACTCTAAATACTTTATGAGAGTACACATGTGCTCCTAAACATATGTGTACACACAAGACATGCGAGTTAAATGCCCTGAAAGCTAACTTCAAACCATGTGCAAATTTAGAAATACGTTTTAAATGCACCTATTTCCTTAAACTACATTATTTAAGTCTCATAACATCACACAATAAAGTGTAATCTTACAGATTAACTTGAAATTTCTTACACCCACTTCTTCTATACTCACTGTGTAATAGTTGATTTGACTGATTAAAGAACATGGCTATAAGCACCAAAATCATTTATTTATTTTCCATGTGTTGCAGTGGTTAATAACACTGTTTGGAATGAAAAGCAGCATAGCCTTGGTGGTGTAGTAGACCCACGTTTAAATCCTAGCTGTACTGCCTATTAGCTGGGTGGACCTTGGACAAATTTTCTCTCTGTGTACATTTACAAAATAAGGATAATAAATACTTAGACTTATAAATACTTATTCCTATGAGGATTAAACCCAATAATGTACACTTAACAAAAGAGTCAGAATATAGTAAGTGTTCACTAAATGCTTGATACCATTCATATCACAGGCCTTGGGAGGTCACTGTGCTCAGTGAGGGAACCTGAGTTCTTGCTCATCTATCTGCTTCACCTTAAGAGAGAAGCTCACCTAGGAGTTGAGCATGGTGTAGGCCTGGAAGCACTTTTAACATCTGAAACATCTGCTGAATTCTTTCGAACTCAATATTATAAGGTTTCTGTTTTCATTTAATTTCCACACTTAATATACTTAAAGGAAACACTAAGAAAAGACTATATTTTATTACTTTTGAATCTCCAGGACTGTCCAGCATAGGGCTCTCATTCAGTGCTTTTCATAATAATGCACTTAACACATAAGAATGGTAACTGCCAGGAAACTATAGCATAAATGTTTAGTCAGTTAAATACATCAAAGCCAGACAGCAGTGAATAACAGGATAATTAGAAAAATGAAGTCAGATACGAAATAGCAAACAAAATCTCTTTCAAAACACATCCTTTGTGGTGAGGAGGAATGTGAACTCAGAAGCTAAGGCCATGTCTCAGCCGTCCTGGTGGGTGAAGCATCCATTATTGAATCTTTCTAAGACTATTAAGACTAATAATCTGGAATTTTAAAGGTCTACATTCTAACCATTTCAGGAAATTCAGTTGTAAAGGTGTTTTTAAAATTAAAGTAATGGAAACAAAGGGCTACGAAAAATATAAAATGGTCTGTTTTGCTAGTATCTAGCAGTACTGTGTGGATGATGAATTAATGCAATGCAGAGTGAAAGTGGAGGAGAATTGTTGTGAGGAGGGACTGATAATATCAAACCTCAGTGATCCAAATATCAAGCCCCCCGACCTGAGGAGCGTCACGATCTAAAAAGACAAGCACAGCTGATTTTTTAAAAATAAATAAAGAAGTACCTTTGTGGGATCTACATGCCATGGGAATTGAGTCCTGTGCTTTAGCAGATAAAGAGGGTCTAAGAAAGTACATATAATAAAAAGGCTAACTTTTATGAAGACTTTACATTGGGGACCCAGAAGAATATTTGTGTTGTGCTAACCTCCAACTGTAGACAAATTATTTCTCTACACATGGAAAAATTAATGTGGCTGTACTGTCAAATAAAAGTACAAGAATAAATCCTTGTAATAATTCTATAGAAGCTAACAGTCCCTTGTTTTCCGATCTGCATTTATTACAAAACCAAAAGTCATCTGTCTTATCCTTATACATTCACATAGACACAATGAACAACTACTGACTTCAAAGTATTTCTAAATTATCTAATTATTCTAGCAGTAAACATTTAAAAATCACACTGAAACGAAGATGAATACTGTCATAAACAAAATATTAAAATAAGACAAAACACAGTATATTTTATCCTTCCTTACCCATTAAGCATCACAGAAAACGAGTTAGGAAAATGTCATATGGTACTACCAGCCACTATACTTATAATTCGTAATTAAAATGAATTTAATATTTTCTTAGGATTTACTTAATGCAGTCAACATGGTATTCTCACTTGTTGGAAAAGATACTGGTTTACATTCCATCCAAGCAACTTAGTAACACCTACATGTCAGAACAAAATCCAACAGTATTTAAAGAAACTTTCTTTTAAAAAGAGTCTAGCACCTAATAAATAACATTCACAACGTTTTCCATCCTATCAAAAAATTACCAGCCAAGTGCAATGGCTCATGTCTGTAATCCCAGCACCTGGGGAGGCTGAGGTGGGCAAATTGCTTGTGCTCAGGAGTTTGAGACCAGCCTGGACAACATGGCAAAACCCCATCTCTACAAAAAATACAAAAAATTAACCAGGTGTGGTGGCATGCACCTGTGGTCCCAGCTACTCAAGGAGACGGAGGCGAGAGGATCACTTGAGCTGGCACCACTGCACTCCAGCCTGGGTGACAAAGCAAGACCCTGTCTCAATCAAACAAACAAACAAACAAACAAAAATACCAAAGAAAAAAATATATGATCCAAACCAGGAGAAAAACCCAAAGAAACAGACCAGAAATGACTCAAGTAGACATTATAATGATAAAAAATATATCTGAAATATGGGTTTAACAGCAGACCAGACACAGCAGAAAAACATCAGTGAACTTGAAGACACAGCAACAGAAACTATTGAAAATGAATCAGAGAGAAAAAGATTGGGAGAAATAAAAAAACAGGGTACCAGTGCCCTGTGTGACAGTATCAAGCAGTTTAACCATGTGTTACTGGAGTCCAAAACTAGAGAAGGGAGGCACAGAAACAAATCTCTGAAGAAGGGCTGAAAATTTTTCAAATCTGGAGAAAACCATAAGCTCGCAGATCCAACAAACTCTGAGCTAAAGAACTATAAAGAAAACTCCCAGTCTGTTGTTATGTACATCATAACCAAATTGCTGAAAACCAATGACGAAGAGAAGAATATTAAAAGCAGCCAGAGAAAACTTAGTTTGAGGGCCTTAGCTTAGAAGTAACATATTAATAGGAGGGAAAGAAATCAAGCAAAGTTTTATTCTTTTTTCTTTAAAACAAACAAACAAACAAACAAAACACTTATACACAAAATCCAGAAAAATACTAGTGGTAAGTTCAAAAGAACTTGCATCATTTCAATTAACTAACCGTAAGCATCCAAAACCTCATTTTGTAATCGTTCATGTGAGATGAGCTAATGTGGTCAGCCGACCAGTTCAGAATGTTTACATGTATACCAATGATTTGGGATGAGCAAAGTAGTACAAGGTCTACATCAGCTGCCCTGAAACATTTGTCTTACTTGTGTTTAATAACATGCAAATGTGAAATGTCTTTCTGGTACTAAACTTCTGACAGTCACGTAAAACATTTCACTCTTTTACCATAAAACCCTGCTAAAGTACTATTATTACACTACAGTCTGGTCTAGGCAAAGTATGTCTTGAACTCAACCCAAGGGAGTTTGGTGTAGGTTTTAGAGGAAAAATGTGTGAAAAGAAAACAAAACAAAAATTCAAGTTACTTAGGGTTAAATAGTTCTGCTCTGACATATTAGGTAAACCACAATGGTGCCTGAAATAGCTATCTGTAAAATGATGAAGTCGGATTAGATGAGTCTGAAAACATCTGTGGTTCTGCAAAAGCCACCCCTGCCCCCCAACACCACCCCCGCCAAAAAAACCCAAAACACTTCATTTAGCGACATCCTTCGAAATAAATGGATATTTTAACCACTTGTGAAGTATAATATTCATCTGTATGAAGTTCTCTCATCCACCTCCACCTATTCTCTATTAGGTAATAAGTATTAGGGAGATTTCTGCTATTGGGGGAAAGAGAGGAGGGACATAGGCAGAAGGGATAGATTTTCTAGGTTTCCTTTTTCTTTAAACAATGTGTATAGCTTGCTTGGCCTGAAGTATTAATCAAAGGGAGCTAAGCTCAGTTTGAGGTTGTATGTTTGGTTCATACTACAAGAGCCAATTTATTAATAAGTTATCCATATTACACGAGTCAATTTATCAATGTTAGTTATCTTTATCATCAATCTACAGCTGAACATTTATCAGCTCACCTCCAGGTGAACGGTCAAACCTCGAGCTTATCCAACATGTACTATCTAACTTTTGCACTGTTTCAGAGCATAGGGTCTTTACAAACCTAACTAATCTTGCTTATTTTTCAAGATAGACATTTAGACTTGTTTTTTAATGAAAATTCATCTTTTTAAAACAAATGTAGATTTAAAAAAAAAAAGATTTCCTATGGAAATGAATAAGAAGCTATCTCCCCAACAATTACTGAAGAGCAGGAGCCTGTCATCCTTACCACTGCTTCTCCGGTGTCTAGAACAGTGGCTGGTGCAGATTATGTGTTCAAAACTACTTGCTGATTGAATAAACAAATCAAGTAAGTTTATCTTCTATACTTTGGATTTAATCATTATCCAAATCCTTTTAAAATACAATAACATTTCACTATTTTTAAAATATATTTTTTAAAGGCTACAAGAATGAAGGATTGTTGATTTTTGCCAATAATGAAATCCCTACGCCCCCACACTTACTAGTAAGAATACAAGTTTTAATCAAATTATTGTTTTCTTGTAAACACTTTAATTTAGAAGTCTTATCCAATGCCACTGGAACTTGTGCTTGGACAGTTAATTAAACATACATACAAAAACATTAACAATGAAACATGCAGACAAAAAAAATATACTGTGGCAGCTGTTACTTTGGGGGTCCCTGATGAAACCGGCCTCCTCATGGTCACAAACCTGCATATCTACGCTTGAATGTGGAATGACTTTGTGACTGCTTTAACCCAAGCAATGTAGCAAAAATGACACTGGACCAGTCCCGGGCCTAAACCTTAAGAAGGCCACCTGTGTACTGCTGGGAAAGCTAGCCACCAGGTAAGGAGCCCAACTTAGGTGGAGAAGTGCATGAAGGAGAAGCTAGCTAGCCCAAACTTGGGGAGCTCCCAGCTGACAGCCAGCACCAACTTAACTTGCTAACCCTATGAGTGAGGCTATTTTGGATCTCCATTTGTCCCTGCTCTGCAGCCAACACCGTAAGTAGCAGAAAAACCACTCAATACCATGACAGCTAATAAATGGTTTTTATTTTAAGCTGTTAAACATTGGTATGGTTTGTTAAACTGTAATATGTAACTGCCACACATACAAACCTTACATTTTATTTTTGCTTTAAACCCATGAGTGGGTTTTAATCAACCACTACTTTAATGAGGGCTACAGCCTTGTCTTTTAGTGCGGGTCCACTGATGGAAGTTCCGAGTCAACTCTCTGGCTTATCAGATGTTGCACAATGCATCATCTACAATCTCCACTCTATTTCTCTAAAATAGAACAAGAATTTAAAGACTTTTGTAGAGCGATTTTTCTGGATGTTCATGATTTTTCTTCCTAAGCTTTCACAGTTCTCTCTTACACCTAATTTGAAGGCAATTTTTTTTTAATGTTACTCACCTATACTGACACTTTGCAAAGCATTCCAAGTTAATTTATGTAGAAGCTACAATTCTCTTTCACACTCACATTTCATAGATTTGTATAATAGTCTACTGAGTTACACAATCACAATTAAAAAGTAAAGATCTAAATAGATTTAGGAACAAACCAGAAACTCTTGTTAAGTATATAGTTCAATTGGTGGGGACAGAAAAATCACTGCCTGTATCACATTCTGTATTCTAGAGTAGACTATTAGCTATCCGCATTCATGATGCTGTGAACATCAGTTGGTAAGTTTTATATAAGAAATGAATAGGACCAGGTCTTGGAAAAGTAGGTAAGTGGATGAGGCCTGCCTGATTTATGTCTTCTGGTATAAAGTCTTCTGTTTCACTCATAGATTTATATAGCATATTTTATCGGTCCTGAACTAAATAAAACAAAAAAGAATGCATAAAGATAGAAAACAAATATATATAAAGAGACGAATTAGCCCACATGGATAAACTTTTACTCATCATTAGAAATAAAAATAATTATAAGCTGTTTATAATTCAGATGAAGGCTTTCAGAAAATAAACTCTCATAAAACTATATAAATACAACACAACAAAACACTTTAAAGACTTCATACTAATTAATTCAATTCTGGTTAACCAGACTTTCCAATGAGAACTACAAAAAAAAAAAAAAAAAAAAAAAAGGAGAGAGAACCCTTTGGGCATTCCAATATAAATGAGTCCCATTACACATAAAAAGACAAACATAATTATTTCTGTTATTTTTGCAATTTTGTTGCAAATACTTGAGTACTTAAAAACAGAAGACAAAGAATAAGACATATTGCAGGGGTGCTTTATTTTTTACCAAATCTACTACCTCCAACAATTGTGTGAGTGTGTCTATATATATCTTCATCCAAAGTCTTGAGGATAAATACCAGATCATATGTGTATAGGATAGTGAGAAGAAAATCAAAACTGTAAGAAAAGCCTTCCTTCTGACCGGGCACGGTGGCTCATGCCTGTAATCCCAGCACTTTGGGAGGCCAAGGAGGGCAGATCACGAGGTCAGAAGATCAAGACCATCCTGGCTAACATGGTGAAACCCCGTCTTTACTAAACATACAAAAAAAAAAATTAGCTGCGCGTGGTGGCGGGCACCTGTAATCCCAGCTACTCGGGAGGCTGAGGCAGGAGAATGGCATGAACCCAGGAGGCAGAGCTTGCAGTGAGCCGAGATCGCGCCACTGCACTCCAGCCTGGGCCACAGAGCAAGACTCCATCTCAAAAAAAAAAGCAAAGCCTTCCTTCTTAGATTGGGCCTGACCACACAGCAGTGCAGCAGGGAGCACAGGTGGGAGCATGTCCCTGAAACACAAGAAAAAAATTATTACATGTCAGTGTCACTGTGGGTACATTCTACCATGAAATGCCAACCAAAAACTATTCAAGGGAAAGCAACAAAAAATAAACATCATGATTCATTCAAACAGTTGTTTTAGGCTTAACTAAAGAGAACCATAGGTCTAAGACAGGAAAATTTGGAAGATAAAAAACTGTCAAAGCTGGGAGGAAAAACAAACAAAGGGGCTTATGCCAAAGACAAAACATAAAAGAGTTTACAGAGAAACAAGAAAAACGTTTAAAACTTTAATTAAAGGTTAATTCACTCAAGAATGAATTACGATCTTCTACCCACTCTTCTCGCAAATAAGAACATTTTTTAAAATCTCCTTATTCTAAATTAAATTTACTTGTGGAAAAAACATTCTATATCATTGGCATTCTTAGAAATCAAGCAACTGAAGAACCATCTCTGTAGGGGACAGATGAGCTGCCTGGATCTCCTTAGCTGAAGTTACTTTTTCTTAAAATTTGGATTACAAAATTAGTTAACTGTAAATATGGCCTATGACACACATCACACATTCAAAACATTAGTTCCAACTGCTGGGAGGATAAAACAAGGAAATATGAGCATATGACATATTCTCCCAAAGTATTTGGTGACGGAAAACGGACACTAGAGTAGGGAAGGCAAATCAGGACAACCTGGGCACAAAAATCTCTCACCTTTGCTTTGACGGCACAGAAAGAGCTCGTTCATCCAGGGACTAGATCTTGGTTCCCAATACCACTCTCCAATAAGAGAATTTTGGAGAAATGGCTGATTGTGGGACTAGGGCAAGGAAGTTGCAGTATAAGCCTGAGCTGAGCATCCTGCATCACCAGCAAGTGAGGAATATTCAAAAACAGAACTGCCAGGTATGTTACAGAGACACAGGAGCCAACTCAAAGAACTCCCATTTGGCCGAAGGTGGGACACTCTGAGCAACAAAACAAATGAGGTAACACTGGATTACAACCATGAGCCCATATTGATAACTACTGGGTGGGTGGGTGGATGGATGGATGGGTGGATGGATGGATGGATGGCTGGGTGGGTGGGTGGATGGATGGATGGACAGATAGGCAGACAGTCTGACAGACAGGCAGGTACATACATACATACATACGTATCTCCTGTACAGAAAATAAAAATCCAAATAATTTACATACTTTCCTCTCAAGGAGGTGGAGTTGAACTCTCCACCCCTTAAGCGTGGGCTACACTCTGGTGACAGAAAGGTGGAAAAAAAAGTAACATTGCAATGGGGTAACCTGACAACAAACAGGCGATCAAGCTTAACATATCAGTGGTAAGCCATGTTGACAGCACGTGCCCCTGATATGATATGATGACAAGGTCACTTAATCTCTGTGGTATTCCTCCTAAAAACCCGTAACCTCAAACTAAGACAAAAACACCTGACAAACCCAAGTTGCGGGACTTTCTACAGAATACCTAATCATTACTTCTCAAAACTGTCAAAGTCATCAAAAACAAAGTGTGAGAAACTGTTAACAGCCAACGAGGCTAAGGAGACACAACTAATGTGGTCCCTGGATGGGATCTGGGAACAGAAAAAGAACATGTGGGGAAAACAAATGAAATCTGAATAAAGTTCTGAGTTTAGTTAACAACAAAGTGTCAATATTGGTTCATTAGTCGTGACAAATATATGAAGTTATATAAAATTTAATAAAAGGGGAAACTGAGCATAGGGTATAGGGGAATTCTATGTACTATCTTTGCAACTGTCTCTAAATCTAAAACTACTCTAGGGGCTGGGTGTGGCGGCTCGCATCTATAATCCCAACACTCTAGGAGGCAGAGGCGGGAGGATCACTGGAAGCCAGCAGTTTGACACCAGCCCGGGCAATATCGTGAGACACAAATCTCTGCAAAAAAACAAAAGAATTAGCCAGGTTTGGTGCTGCACACCTGTAGTCCCGGCTACTCAGGAGGGTGAAGCAAGAGAATCGCTTGAACCCAAAATTTCGAGGCTGCAGTGAGCCATGATCACACCACTGTACTCCAGTCTGGGCAACTGAGTGAGACTCTGTCTCTTAAAAAAATAAAAGAGAGAAAATTTAAATTAAGCTATTCCAAAATTAAAAGTTTATTTAAGACTTAATTATATTACATTGAATAGTTTCATGACTGCTTAATAATTGTGATGTTACTGTACAGGTATAAAAGACTAAGAGCCAAAACTAAACTTAAAAATGTAAAATTATAAAATTAAGCAATTCTTTACAGATACACTGGTAATTGTGGTTGTAAACAACTTCAAAATGATAGGCTGAAAAAATGCCATTTAAAACAGTGACTGCCAAAACTGGTATGTGCATCAGAATTTTTGACCTTCCTGTTAAAAATACAGATTTCAGTATCTTCCACAAGAAATTCTGACCAGAGAGTCTGAAACAGGGCTTGGAAATATTTATTGTAACAATCATCATAGCAGCATCTGATCCATGCACCAGTGCCATAAACAGAGTCTGATCAACTGCCATAAATCATGTCTTTTCTTCCTATTTTAACGGCAAATTCTGCTCTTCCATCCTCATGGAGAAGTTAGCATTCCTCCTCCAGGAGGCTGAGTGAAGAAGCATAACCTAAACATACTGATTAACGGCTTTAGGTTAGCATGATGGAAGACCACATGCAATGTTTTTCATAATGTGGTATTTAAAAGACTTCTGGAGGCACATGTATAATGTGCTTACAGTCATTTATTGTTACAATTATTTTCTATTTATGGCAAAATTATTTAGGTTTTCCATGTTTACTATCATGATAAAGTTTCCTTCTAAAATAGACTGCCTAAAAAGAGAATAAATTTTAAAAAAAGGAAAATAATAGGATAGGTGGTACAAGGATACAGCAAAAATTATAAGGTGTTACACAGATGGTGGAAGATTGAAAAATTCTGTACTAGTTAAACTCCAGTGCTACCTTTTCATATAAAGCTGGAAAAAGACAGATGAACGAAGACTCAAAATTAAGACAATGGTCAAAAAACAATAAAATTATGTTAAATGGGAATAAAACATTTATACTTGTTTATGTTTTCAATCAGCTCTGTAATTTGTTACCCATTAAGTTATGAAGAATTTTCACTGTAACAGTATAATTGCTACCGTTAGGCACGGAGTACTTACCATGCTTGGTAAGTACTATGCTCGATATCATACAGTCTCATTTCATCTTTACCAGAACCTTATAGAACCATTTTAGGGAAGGATCCTTTGCACAGGAGGTCAATTCTTATTGATGATGGGAGGTGCTCTGTTACATGCGAGGTACCCAAGGATTCCTACAGGTACTAGCATAATTCCTGAGCCCCAGAGTAGGGAAAAGGATGGCTCATCTTGCAAGTGTCTGGGCCATAACTGGAGTCCTGATCTAACTCTAAGGCCCAAGGCCCTCCCATCTTCAGCAGACCATTCACTTGTAGCTCACACTGATAAGGATCACTTCTCCTGTGGGACAAAGTCCCTCCAGGTGGAGAGAGAGCATAGCATGAGAGAGAGACCAGGAGAAAGTATGGACTGGCAGTTCAGAGAGCCAGTTCTCTGGTCCGCTCTAGGACTCACATCTTTGGTGAAGCTTTTTAACCATCCTAAATTTCCTCAGCTATAAATAAAGGTATTACTCTGGATAAGATACTGCATCTAAATTCAGCTCCAGGGAGACCTAGCTTGGCTACAAGTTAAATGAGAGAAAAAGTGGGGATTCTGCCTGGTTTATTTATCTGTATATGTCAAATAAAAGGTCTAACTGAAATCGTCTCCTTCAGATAGCTATTTATCTTCCGTACCAAATGCAGGGATTACACTCTGCGTTCCAGGAAGGTCAATGTGCAGCACTTCTAACACAGCCTCATCAGATCAGGCTTGAGTCTCCGTTCCTTTCACATGAGCCTGGGTGTGTGCCGGTGTGCGTGTGTTGAAATAGAAAACAGCCTTTCAAACTAGGGAACGGTAATTTTGAATTAACAACAACTCTTCTTTTTTCTTTTTCATTGAAAACAGGATTCTATAAGGGATGAGACAAAGAAGATATAAATGTGTTAAATGTACACCATTTTCTTTTATTCACTTTTGTTTTTTTTTGTTTTCTTGGGTCTTTATTCTAATAATTTGATTGATTTACTTACAGGTGAAAATACACATTATCTGTTTCATACCACATTGTGTGTCAAATTACACTATTAGCACCTCAAGGGAAATCACAGTCATGTCTTTATTTCATTCAACAATGACCCCACCAGACAAGAGGTGTGCTAGGAGTAGAGGAAAAAACACATTACTGTTCCTGCCCTCATGGAGCTTTCAATCTACAGAGAACTGGAGAGTTAGCACAGAATTACATACACAAGTGTATTTCAAGTATACTTATGAATTATGCTATGGAGGAAGATTACAGGGAACAAAGTGCTGGGACAAAGCCCACCAGCAGATAGGACCTAACCTGGAGAACTAGGAAGATGGTAACAAAGAAGGCTTCTCTGAAGAAGGAGCATTTCAACTGACACATAAAAGTTCCGAAGAAATTGCACAGAAAAAGGAGGCAGAAAGTGGGGGGCTGCTAAGACAGAAGGTACAGCATGTGCAGAGGATCTGAGACAGGAGAGAGCAGGGCTCATCTGAGAGTGAAAGGAGCCCATGACAACCCAGGGTGGGGCAGGCGGAGTGAATCCGAGTCCCAGAAGCAGCAGGCAGGAGCAGGAACAGACTACGTTATGTCTTATCCCCAACAGCTTCTGTCTACACTCCAGCAATCAAGACCAAGTGACCTGTTGGTAGCTAACAGAGGGAAAAGAATTGTTCACTTGAGAGGAACAATGCCTTTTGGAATTATAAAAACCTTACAAATGGCAAGTTGCTATCTAAGAGGTAATAAAACATGACCCAACATCAAAGATGTAATCAAAGATACACACAGGTTTGTCTCATGAAAACTATAACTTTCTTAATTAAAAGCTATGTAAACTGAGAAAAATTTAAATGAGTCTAAAAAATTTTAGAAGAAAAAATAAAACCTCCTATTTTTAACTTTAAAGCTTTCCTCACTAAGGAGAACGTAATTGGTAATTGTGGTTGAACACATAAGGTCAATGTGGAATTTACTGGAAATGTGGGGCTTAAAGGCCCTGTGTATTCCCAATATAAATACCACATATAGTTTTAGAAAAGAAATGTCTAACAGTGTATCATTAAATACAACATGTACAAAACATAGGGAATATTTTAAAAATAGCTGTGGCATCAAAGCCATTATTACTTTATATTTCAACCATGAAAACTAAGAATTCCCTGAACTTGAATGTAAATTTTCATTATGTGCATGCATGCATTTTTCTCTTTCTTGTTTTTTTTTTTTTTTTTTAGACAGAGTCTCACTCTGTCACCCAGGCTGGAGTGCAGTGGTGCGATCTCGGCTCACCACAGCCTCCACTCCCCGGGTTCAAGTAATTCTCCTGCCTCAGCCTCCCGAGTTGCTGGGACTACAGGCGCGCACTACCACGCCCAGCTAATATTTGTATTTTTAGTAGAAACGGAGTTTCACCATGTTGGCCAGGATGGTCTCAATCTCCTAACCTTGTGATCTGCCCACCTCGGCCTCCCAAAGTGCTGGGATTACAGGCGTGAGCCACTGTGCCCGGCCCAGGACTCTTTACTTAGAAAAGTGCACACATGTGGGCAGGGAGACACTGCAGTCCAGCCTGGGTGACAGAGCGAGACTCTGTCTCAAACAAACAAACAAACAAACAAACAAAGAAAAGTCCATAGTTTTCATTAGGTTCTCAAATGCAGTTTATGACACAAAAAAGGGTAAGAAGCATTGACCTAGTATTTATCACACATTTAGCAAGTTTCTCTTTTAGAAATATCTCACAGTGACATGTATTCAACACCTAAAGGATATAAGTGTCAGATGCATAACTAATTCAAAGCCAATGCTCAAACTACAAAGTTCCTGTTGTACTAGCCAGGGACAGAGACACCTCTACCCACCCACATACATAGGATTTATTCAAAACTGACTTTTTTACAAAATCATATAAGTGTCAAAAGATGCAGTGAATAAAATAATTTTCCACCTTTTATGACACACTGCTGTTTCATGTTTGGAGTGATACTGGCCTCCATATACCCTACAAAAATGGTTAATTATTCGGACAAATTTGAGTTTAAAAAAATTTTTTTTAAATGGTTAACATAAATTAACATTTTATCTAGTAACAGTTAATAAGAATAATTAGAAAACTCCTTAAATGGTTCATAATCAAGGTTACGACTAAACACAATAAAAAAGCCTTCTGAAAGAAAGGCTGGGCGTGGTCCACAGCTCACGCCTGTAATCCCAACACTAAGGAAGGCCAATGCGGGTGGATCACTTGAGGTCAGGAGTTCAAGACCGGCCAAGCCAACATGGTGAAACCCTGTCTCTACTAGAAAAATACAAAAATTAGCTGGGTGTGGTAGCACACGCCTGTAATTCCAGCTACTCGGGAGACTGACGCAGGAGAATTGCTTGAACTGGGAGGCGGAGGTTGCAGTGAGCTGAGCTCGCGCCACTGCACTCCAGCCTGGGCGAGAGAGACTCCGTCTCAAAAATAGAAAGAAAGAGATGTTAAGCAAACATGGAAGAAACTGTGGTAAATGAGAGAAAGGAAGAATGTTTCCAAAATGTAACACCAGAGATGTAAAAGTAGAAGGAAAAAAACCACTACAAGAACAAAACTATTTTTAAGACAGGCAACAAAGGTAAAAACTATAGAGGAACAAGAGATTTAAGCAGTGATCTTCCAGTGACAGGGTTTCTTCTGTGTTGACCCTACTTTAAACTCACTGAACTTTTTGAATCTATGGTTGACAGCATTTATCAAATTTGAAACATTTACAACCACTACTTCTTAAAAAAATTTTTTCGGTTCTCCTCTTTCTTTTCTCCTAAAACTCAATACACACGCTAACCGCCTGACACTATTCCACATGTCACTGGTATTCTGGTACACTTTTCCAGTCTTTGTTCTCTCTGCATTGCATTTTGCATAGTTTCTACTGCTATATCCCTAAATTCACTGATGTTTTTCTGCAGTGTCTAATCTGTTGATATCCCACCCAGCATATCTATCATTTCACGTAACGTATTTTTCATTTTCAGAAGTTCCATTTGGATCTTTTTTACATCTTTTTTCTCTAATATTCATGTTTTCATTTAAATACTTGAGCCTAATTATAATCATACTATTTTAGCAACTCCTGGTACTTCCATCATCTGTTACACTTCTAGGATTGTTACTATTGACTAATTTTTCTCCTGGTTATAGGTCATATTTTCTTGCTTATTGACATATTTTGATTAGATGTTGGATATTATACATTTTCTGTTGTTGTTACCTGGATTTTACTGTCTTCCTTTAAAGAGGATTAAACTTTGAGGGTTTTTTTGTAGGCTATTAAATTATCTCAAATTCCTTTTTATCCTTTTAAGATTTGTTTTCAAGCTTGGTTAAAGTCAATTCCATAGAAGCTTTTCCTCTAGAAACAGCCTAACCTCACTACTAAGCTGTGATCCTTCCAAGTCTTTACTGAATGTCCCAAATGTCCAACGCAACAAAGACTTTCCACTTCAACCAACTGGTACTCAAGTGCCTCCCAGCCCTGTGTGGGCTCTGCAAACTTTTCACAGCTCACAGCTCCTCAACAGCTCTTTGCCTTATTTGCAGAGTTTCTATTCCACACAATCTACTCATCAACGACTCAAGAAGGCCTTATATAAATTTTCTGGAGCTCTTTTTCTAGATCACTCCTTCCTCTCCAGAACTCCAACCTCAACTTCCAACTGCCTCAGCCTCCTCAAACTCCAATCTGCTTCCTCCACTCAGCAAGTTCACTCTGCTTTGCCTGGTATTCTTCCCCGCAACACAGTCTGGAATAGGTTTCCAGGCAAAAGCCAGGGTAATCAAAAGCCTGGCCTTATTTGTTTCCCTTGCCTCAGGGATTACTATCATGTACAGCCTGCTGTCTAATATCTGAAACAGTCACTCTATACTCAAGTCTATTCCAAATAGCGTAAGAAGAGTTTATTGTAATCACTAAAACCCAGCATATTTATATTTTTTAATCTAAAAAAACTGTTCTGTGTATTTTTAGGGTTATAATAACATAACGCACAATCAGCTTCATCACACATTTGGGAAAACCAGTACTTGACCTTCAACCTTCAAAGTGACTGATTACATGATGTAGCTAAGTATTATATAATAGGATCACACAGCAGTGTCTTTAGGAAGCAAAGGAGAAAGGAAATTTTGTTCAAAAATATGTATATGTTTATGTTTACTTTACATAAAAAGGCAAAAATCACCTCATTTTGGAGGCTAAAACACTTACAGATAGTCAAATTCAACCCATTTATTTTGTGAAAATTTAACCTCTTTGGGCCTGTTTCTATAACTTACAAAAGATCACAAAGATTTTTTGTGGACCTAATTTTTAGGCATATAAAAACTCTAAAACTTAGGCTTTTACAAACCTAATACTATTTAAAATATCCAAATAAATAGAAAGTGACATACTTCTCAACTACAGATGGTACCAGAAGACCAAATAAATAACACTCTTGGCAGTTCCTTACGTGCTTGTCAGAAAAACAGTTAGTAGTTCTATCACCCTCATCCCTATTACTGAGGGGGAAATATCATTAACAGAAACAAGTATGCCACCAAATTGTTTTGACTTAGCTAGGATCATCGAAATAAAAATTCTAATATACTAATTAAGACAGGAAACACTCAATTTCCGAAAACCTACATTTAATTATACAAATGTATCCCTCCTCTACCAAGAATAATTTTAACTGTATAGAACCTAAACATTTCCTTATAATTTAATATAATGTTGGTTAAACTAAGGCCTTTGTTGTTCTTTTTTCGCTTCTAAAATTCTTTTTTCAGTGCACACAAGACCTTTAGTAAAGCATTATACTCCCGAGATATATATCATTACTAGTAACTTTTATTAACATAGAAATAACAAGGGACTGGGATATGTTACAAAATGCTGAAAAACAGACACAGCTAGGAAATTCTATTTAAAGACATTAATTCACCATTCAAACTGCATGCATTGAGTACTTTAAACCATCCATGCAATAAATATTTACAAAAAGCTATTATGTGCTAAGCACTATTCCAAGTGCAAGAATACAAGGCGTTTAAAGATAAAGGCAACCAAAACAATCCTGGAAAAGAGTAATGCTGGAGGACTCACCTTCCCAATTTCAAAACTAAACAAAGGTAATTAAGAGTGTGATAATGGCATAAGGACAGACACACGGGATCAGTGGAACAGAACTGAGAGAGTCCAGCTATAAACTCGTATGTCTAGGGTCAATGGATTTTCAACTGGGGTGCCAAAAATATTCAATGGGAAAAGGACAGTCTTTTTAACAAACGGTGCTAGGACAACCAGCTATAAGAAAAGGAATGAAGTTGGACCCTTAATTCACACCATATGTGAAAATTAATTCAAAATGAATAGAAGATCAAAATGTAACAACAACCAGAATGTGTAAGAGAAAACTGGGGTAAAGCTATAGGATCTCATATTTGTCAATGAGGTCTTAGATATGATACAAAAGCACGAACAACAAAAGACAAAACAGATAAACCAACTGCATCAAAATTAGAAACTTTTATGCAAAAGACACAATCAAGAAAGTAAAAAAGACAGCCCACAAAAATGGGAGAAAATATTTGCAAATCATGTATCTAATAAGAGACTTATATAAAGAATATACAAAGAACTCTTAAAATTCAATTTTAAAAAGACAAAAAAATAGTGAAACAATCTTCCAAAAAAGATATACAAATGGTCAATGAGCACCTGAAAAGATAATCACCACCACTGGAAAAATGCAAATCAAAACTATAATCAGACAGCACTTTATATCCACTAGGATGGTTATAATTAAAACGTCAGACAACGCGTTGACAAAGATATGGAGAAATCATTATACATGAATTTATATAGCAGTATTATTTATAATAACCAAAAGGTGAAAACAATCCAGTGTCCATCAACTGCTGGAGTGGAAAAACAAAATGTAGTACTCCCACTGCTATAGTTTGGGTATCTGGCGCCCAAACCTCATGATGAAATTTTATCCCCAATGTTGGAGGTGGGTACTAATGGGAGGAGTCTGGTGTCATGGAGGCAGACCCCTGATGAATGACTTGGTGCCAGCCTCATAGTAATGAGTGAATTCTCTCTATGAGTGCTAGCAAGCGCTACCCTAGGAGCTGGTTGTTAAAACGAGCCTGGCACCTTCCCCCCGCCCCGCACCACCTCTTGCTTCCTCCGTGCCACATGATCTGCACACGCTGGCTCCCCTTCTCCTTCTACCTTGAGTGGAAGCTTCCTGAGGCCCTCACCGGAAGCAGATGTTGACACCATGCTTCTTGTACAGCCTGACGAACCGTGATCTAAGTAAACCTCTTTTCTTTATAAATTACCCAGCCTCGAGTATTCTTCTGTTGGTGGTGGTGGTGATGGTGGCCACTTCAACTTTCATTTTAAGTTCCAGGATACGTGTGCAGGATGTGCAGGTTTATTACATAGGTAAACGTGTGCCATGGTGGTTTGCTGCACAGATCGACCCATCACCTAGGTAGTAAGTCCAGCATCAATGAGCTGTTCTTTCTGATGCTCTCCCTCCCCCCACCATCAACAGGCCCCAGTGTGTGCTGTTTCCCCCCCATGTGTCCATGTGTTCTCATTGTTCAGCTCTCATTGAAAATGTGGTGTTTGGTTTTCCGTTCCTGTGTTAGTTTGCTGAGGATAATGGCCTCCAGCTCCATCCATGTCCCTGGCAAAAGTTTACAGCAATACAAATGGACAAAGATACACATTAAAGAGAATACTGTTGACACCATATAAATGAATGCACTATAATTTATACTATGACAAAACTTGAAAATCTTACGCTAAGTGAAAGAAGCCAGTCACAAAAAAACCCACATATTATATGATCCAATTTATATAAAATGTTCAGAATAGGAAAATATACAGAGACAGAAAGTAAATTAGCAGTTACTCAGCAGTGGGAGGGTTGGGGACCGGGCAGGGGGTTGGTAATGGCTACATGGTGCAGGGTTTCTTTTCAAGGTGATTAAAATGTTTGAAAATTGACTGTGGTAATGGTTGCATATATCTGTGAATATACTAAAACCATTGATTTGGACACTTTAAATGGGTGGATGACATATGAATTGTATCTCAACAAAGCTATCTAAAATATAAGTAAAGGCAAGAGCCCTACTGTTATAGTTCTCTTCCTCTCCATGTGAATTCCAATTCCAATGAGAACACTTTCTGATATCCTAGAGACACAATGTTTTTTGGTAGTCCAGAATTCAAATATATGTGCTTTAAGGTTAGTACAGGATTTCAGCATCCTCATATAAAAAAAGGGACTATCTCACTTGTTATTTCTAGAGGAAATTGTGACTAGCACTAAATTTGGAAACTATATGGAACAGCTCTCTGCATGACCAAATTAACTCATTTTAATAATCACCTATTTCTCAAATTCTGAAAAATTAATTTGAAAAAGCACTAACAAACTAGCAGGATTTGAAAGGAAAGCAAACCTACTTACATTAAAACAAGGGGAAATAAGGATTTTATGACAGGTTCTACATTAACTCTCATTCAAATACCATTCCCAGGAAGAAAGTTTAACCAGGTACATAAGATATAATACCCAGTGGTACAAAAGGGGTAGAAATCTTGCATAAGAAGCCTAAAAGGAAAGGGCGCTCCTTTGTCTTTTATTAGTTCATTAATTCTCAAAAAATGAGAGCATTTTGCATAAAGGAAGAGGTGCCAAGAACCAGCAAGGTTATTACAAAAGTCATGTTAATGACAATTCATTCCACCACCAGTCAATTATTCAGTGCCTACTATGTGATATACAAAATACATAAAACCTACATTATAAGCTCTTTTAGAGTTTACAATGAAGGCGGGACTGGACTCCAGAGGCAGGGTTCAGACACCAGACCAAACTGAGGACTAGCTAAAACAGTGATGGGGCAGAATCTGCTTTCCATAAGACACGCCCACCAGTGTGCCAATCAGTTTACCACTGACATGACAACACCCAGGAGTTACTGCCCCTTTCCACGGCAATGACCCAGCAGTTACTACCCCTTCCCTAGAAATTTCTGCATAAACTGCCCCTTAATTTACATGTAATTGAAAACAGGTATAAATATGACTGCAGAACTGCCCTGAGCTGCTACTCTTGGCCTACGGGGCAGCCCTGCCCTGCAGCAGCAGCCACGGAGCTTAACACCACTAGAGATGTAACGTTGCCTCTTCAATAAAGCTGTTTTCTTCTACCTCTAGTGTGCCCCTGAATTCTTTCCTGGGCAAAGCCAAGAACCCTCATGGGCTAAACCTCACTTTTGGGCTCACCTGCCCTGCATCAATTATTTTCCTAGAAAATGAATCTGAAATTATTTCCCTTAATTTCATGTGTTGGGGTTTCTAGCATTAAAGAAATGAAAGAAAACTTAAAGGGAAAGATTTAACTATAAGAATGCTTAAGTCTTCTATATATGTACAAAAAATTTACCTAAGCCATATTAAAAGTTAAACTGAGGATAACTGTCCTAAATTTAGAAAAGGCTCATGAAGAAAAGCTGCAAAATACCAACAAGAAAACGAGCAAACAAAATGAAAAGACAATTCACAAAACAAATTTATATAGCAGTGAAACATGAAAACTGTCCCGCCACCTAAATTAAAACAAGATGGCTCTCTCTGGCCTAGGAAATTAGCAAACAGTTTTTAGTAACACTGGAAGCTAGAAAGAATACAGTAAGGTAAGCACTAATATGACCTATATACATTTGTACAATCTTTCCAGAGGAAATTATTGTGATATTAAAACCTTTAAAAGTGTTCAAAATCCTTTCAAATTCTACTTTCAGGAAATTCTTTTGAGAGCAGCCAGAAAAGCTTGTGGTATGTACCGAGAGGTTCACTGCAGTGTTGTCTAGAAGAAGAAACTGGTAGTAACTTCCAGCTCTATGGTATGCTCATAAAATGAAATATGATGGGACCATTTTTAAATGATGTTATAATATTTTTATTAACACGCCAAATGCTCACAATACATTTAGATATCATTCCTACCTCAGCCTAAAGGACCTCCTCCCACCCCTGTGTAGTTTACTTGGCAATTAATCATTCCTGTGATCTCTCTTACTGCTGTAATAAACTACTATTTAAATCTTTCACAACGTCTTTTCTCATGTATGTCTAAGGAAACAACATATAAAATAGAGTAACAAATATGGATTTGAGACCAGATTCCCGGTATTCTGCACTAATACGTCTCTTAAAGGCTCACCTCCCTTATCTGAAAATGCATATGTATTTTATAAGTTCGTTGTAATAATTATATAAAGCAACAAGTTATGCCACTTATATGATAGCATATAGGTAGATTATAGATGTAAATTTATTACAGTTCTGCACCAGACCATGAATTATAATTTCTATTACCTTACATCTTTTCCAACTAGCTTATAAATTCTCTGAAGGCAGGGCATGCTTTATATTATGATTTATATAATAAAAAGATTATCTGGCTGGGGAGTACGGGAATATTCCCAAGAGAAACACCACTTGAAATGATTCCAAAAGAAAAGAGAGGAAAGGGCAACTGACGCATAGGAACCGACCCATACAAAGGAATGGAGCTGAGAAAGAACACAGAATGTTCAACAACTAGGAAGATGTTCAGTGAATTAAGACTCTAAATTCTCAGAGGCAAGGGGTTCAGCAGGACTATTGGGCCTGGATTTCAAGCTTAAAGCAGCCTCACACTTAGCTATTGCTGAGTGGCAAATTGGTGTAGGGAGGCAAGTTAAGGCCTCTTCACAAATGTGGACTCGAAATGCGTGGCCACCCTAATTTCAGCTAAATCTGAGGGTGGGGAGATTGCCAACTCAAAAAGCTGTCTGAGCCTAATCAAGGTTCTTAAAGGACTCAGTCACTAGGCAGAGACCGTACCAATTTCATTCACTGCTGGGGCCCCATGCCCCAGCACTAGCACTGCCTGATACACAGCCAGCACTTAACATATGAATGAGTCTGTCAGGAAAGGAATAAACCAGATGGGTAGGGTGGACTGCAGCAGTGAGCTACTACTGACTTAACTAGTCAGTACAGTTAAGCTTTACTATTTCATTCACCCAGTCTGGCTAACTGCTCTCCCTTTTTAGTAACTGTTCCTCAATACACACATACTCCTCCTTTGGTTCTCTGTTAAACAAGACTCAGATATTCAAAGAGCCAAGTAAACCTCTAAGGGCTTCTTTTGCAAAATAAAAGCTCAGTTCTGGCGTTGAACTTTCATGACGGTTTCTGGCATTTCCAGAAGTATTTTCCCTCACTTACTTCTGACATCCTACTTTTTCAGATAATTAAGTATAAAGAAACAGTTTCTAAATTATTTATTTTTGTTCAAGACATACCTAAAATTAAGTGTGTGAAGAAGGGAGGGGGGTTGAAAGGCAACCAATACGAGACTGCCACCATTTCACTCAGACACTGAAAATACCTAAAATCTACTGTCTCCGCTGTTTCCCAAAAAACAGAATCCTGAAAAATTAATTTAACTTTATAGAAAAAAAGTCACCATACTCATTTTATCAATTTACCTGCATGGAGGTTGATAACTTCAATGCCTGTTTAGGAACCTCTGCATTAAAGGAGTTATTTGGGTTTACTCTACCAGAGAAACTTTCCTTAAAAGCATTTTACTTTCAAATTCTTCATTAGACTTCCCTCTCATGGGCCTATTAGGACAATGAATGTCATTTGAAGTAACACAGCACCTTGTTTTCTCTCCACCTTCTCTTTCTTTGTAGTCCCTAACTCCTTCCCACCCTTCTTTCTGTTGTTCTCTTCATTTATCCACTCTCCTTACAAGAACTTCAAGAATTACACACCAATGAAGTGTCTAAAGCAAAAGCACCAGAGGTGGTACAGTTCTTTCTTCAGTGACTGCCTTACGGTGCTCTAAGGATCACACGCTTCTAACACTCAGAGGAATAAAAGACATCAAAAAAAAGCACACCCAAAGCTATACACAATAAATATAATCTCACAGCCTTCAATTAATTAACCTTAACTCAAAATTTCCAGAGTTGTGAATACAAAAATTGCATAAAATTGCAACCTACAAGTAGGTTCTATCAGACATCTGCATGTAGCAGGATAAATTCTTCTTTAAACTTCTTAAATAAACTATTAGTGTTTGAGTATTTAACAGGGGTTAGTCATAGTAAATATAGCAAAGTGATTAGTAATGATTCTCAACCTAGGTTTAGTCACAGTCAAGCTTATCTGCTCCGATTAAACAAAAATAAAGAGTAGGCAATTGTGCAATAAACTTGGACTAAGTAGGAAAACAAAATTTAATGGAATAACATGATTTTTAAGTGAACTTTTAAAAAAACATTTGAAAGAAACAAAACATATACCTATAGTTTTGAACCAAGAAATGTTTATTAAAAATAAACACTTTTATTAGCCTAAAATAGGGATAATTGGATAATTTCTAACAAATATTACTTGAGATTATTTATTATGTAACTATTTAAGAAATACTTTTAAAAAAGTTGTAACAAACCAAAAAATATGATAAGCATACAATTTTATGAGGTTCTAACACATCAACAAAGAAAGTTACTGATTTATTTACCAAACATCCTGGGCATCTCATGTGGTGCATATAGTACCAGGCACTTCGGGGATAAATGGAATACCTATGATAATAGTTACTACTCTCAAGTAGTACAGTCAAGAGGATACATGAATAATTTTTAAAACACAATAGGGAGAAATGTAAATAGCTGAGTGACATAAAACAGCATTCAACCTCACGATTTAAAATGCAAGAATTTAAAACTAAGAGCTTTTTCTTTTTTATTTTTTTTAAGTCCCAGGGTACATGTGCAGGACGTGCAGGTTTGTTACACAGGTAAACATGTGCCATGGTGGTCTGCTGCACCTATCAATCCATCACCTAGGTATTAAGCCCAGCATGCATTAGCTCTATTCCCTAGTGCTCTTCCCCGCCACCTCCTTCCCCCGACAGGCCCCAGTAAGTGTTGTTCCCCTCCCTGTGTCCATGTGTTCTCAGGAGCTTTTTAATTTATCAAACTAGCAAAGACTTAAAAATTATTATTGTAATGTCAAGAATAAACTCATATATTCCTGGTGGAAATTGGCACAAATATTCTCAAGAGCCTTTCAAAGATTTTTTTTTAAATGCACATATTCCAAAAGATAAAAGCAACCAAAATGTTCATCAATGGATGAATGGATAAATGAAGTGTGATATGTACACACAATGGAATATTATTCAGTCTTAAAAAGGAAGAAAGCTCTGACACCCCGTAACATGGATGAACCTTAAGAAAATTACACCAAGTGAAATAAGCCAATCAGAAAAAGACAAATGCTCTGATTCCACTTACATGAGATATCTAGAGTAGTTAAATTCATGAAACTGTAACACAGTGTTTACCGGGGTAGATGGGGAGTTGTTATTTAATGGGTATAGAGTTTCAGTTTTGCAAGATAAAAAGAGCTCTGGAAATTGGTTGCATCAATAGTGTAAATAAATGTACTTAACAACGCTACTGAACTGTACCCTTAAAAATGGTTCAGGCGGCCACGGTGACTCACACCTGTAATCCCAGCACTTTGGGAGGCCGAGGCGGGTGGATGACGAGGTCAAGAGATGGAGACCATCCTGGCCAACAGGTGTGAAACCCCGTCTCTACTAAAAATACACAAATTAGCTGGGCGTGGTGGCGCGCACCTGTAGTCCCAGCTACTAGGGATGCTGAAGCAGGAGAATCTCTTGAACCTGCAAGGCGGAGGTTGTGGTAAGCCGAGATCGTGCCACTGCACTCCAGCCTGGTGACAGAGTGAGATTCCGTCTCAAAAAAAAAAAAAAAGGTTCAGATGGTTTAAAAAAATGAATATGCCATGATACATTTATACAATGGGTATAAACATTATACCCATTGAGCAAAATGTTACACATTTTGCAGTAACAAGTATTTTACAGTAGCAAGAATGAAAGAACCACCATCAACCAAAACAACATAGATGAACCTCACAAGCACCATGCTGAGTGAAAGTAGTAGATGTAAAATATCAGTAAATGTCAGGATAATGAGGAAAGAAAGGGTAGTGTGTGCAAGAAGTAGGAAGAGATTTTCTAGGATGCTGCTCACATTTTATTTCTTCACTTAGGTAAACTTTATAACACTGTATTTGCTTTTGAACAATTTATCAAGCTACACATGTAATATACACAAGTATGTCTTTGTTAAATTATACAACAATAAATATCATACAAAAATTTAAACACAAAGTAGAGGGGAAACTACAAGGTCCTACATAATTGGTCAACTGCCAGCTCCTGTTTCATCTATTACCACATTATGTCAACGCTTATACAGCTCCCATTATACGTAAAACTCGGTATGTAAAATTCTGTAAAGAATAAAATGGATTATAATTTTACATATATTTACACACACACACACTTTGGTATAGTAATTATATTTCCAGGATTTTACTCTAATAAAACATCTTGACTAGACATAAAGATTAAGCTAAAAACAATGCTTTTAACCTCATTCATAACAGTAAAAGAAACAGAAACATCCTAAGAGTCCGACAAAAGACTGGTTAAATTAAGATCACAGCTTCCTAGAAGAGAAATATCAGAAAACACCCAGTGAAAATGAGTATGCAATTGCTACCCAACAAAGGTTCCTACTGGTAGACTGAAGTTATATCAAATATTATATAATAAATATCATCACTGCATCCCACTTTCCACTCTATCCCACTTTCTGCCTTTCTACCTTCTTTCTACTCTTTATGGGTTTACCAGAATTTTATAGAAGACAATAGCTATGCCTTACCATATTTATCACATAAAAAGTTTAATTAGAAGCAAGAGTCAAGGCCATACTTCACTGATTTTAAAACACACGTTTTTCCCTAATTTTAACATCTCTGATATTTCACCGTACCCTACAACTGATATAAAAAAAGCACTGTGTCATTGCTTCATTGCAGTTTTTCCTTAGTGACATATAAAATTTATGCTGCATATTACAATTGACAGCCTTTTATGTTTGATGAAACATTACTCTCTAAAAGCTCAATATCTATAAGTTAAATAAGCATGACCTTACTAGAAACAAAGCCTATTAAAGAGCAGAAGCACCAAATATGA
Source organism: Homo sapiens (assembly GCF_000001405.40). Taxonomy (NCBI): domain Eukaryota; kingdom Metazoa; phylum Chordata; class Mammalia; order Primates; family Hominidae; genus Homo; species Homo sapiens. Next base: position 161,007,690 of record NC_000006.12, on the reverse strand, counting down.
ACCAAAGCAATTTTTTTAAAAAGGAGAAAAACCTTTACAGATTTTCAGAGGCTATACAGGATCATGTCTGGGTATTTAAAATTAATTACTTCAAACTATTTAATACAAATGAAAATATTCTATGTTATAAAGGACAGAATGAGTTGGGCACTTACACACCCATCACTTGACACAACTGTTTAACTTTATCTGAGCCCTGTGCTCCTTAAGAGAGCAATGGATAGGAAATCCACGTTCTGTGTTCCAAGAAATGGCTAACCTCAAAGGACCACCATGTCCTTGCATATTGTAAAATTAGCCCTCCCTCTATCTTCCTCAGTAATTCCCACGTTTTATAAAACCCTAAGTTTCTCCCTCCTCTTCAAGACATTCCTCAATAGTGAATGTTTTTCCCCACTGCAATATCCCGAATAAAATCGTCTACTTAACTGTCCACTGTATTTTTCCTTTGTTTTGATGCCAGGACTCAAGCAGGATGAAGACCTTGCCTTCAGATCCCTGTTGACTCCACCCAAGTAACAAGACCTCTGGGTTCCCCTGTGCCTTGTTTCTGGTCTGTGACCTGGGGACACAACAATGAGTACAATTCCTGGTCCTGCGCTTTGGACCTTGCTCATCTGCAGCACAGTAAGGAACTGATTTTTACTCTGAGATTTGCTTTATTTCTGTTGCTGGTTACTTTTGATTTTACAGTTTGTCAATCTCCATAAACAAATTAATGGGTTATAATAGGGATATTTTTTCTGTTAGGAAAGATGACAGAGAACCTGATTATTTTTTTCTATTTGTCTACTTTGAGCTCAAATCAGTTAGGAATTTCATGACCACCAAGAAGCAGATCTCGGGACTGGAGAATGTTACATTTGCGTATGCTTGATCCATGACTAAAATTTTAAAATTGAATATATAGGCTTTCTCTTTGTGTTCTGTGTCTGTTTGTAACTATGAAAGGCCTATACCTCTCATTATGTGAGTGTATATTCTGTATATGTTCCTACCTTTAGATGATATTCTCAAATAGGTTATAAAATCCCTTAAAGGAGAGAGCTCAATTCTGACTGGCTCGCAGATAAGTACAGCCATCCTTCAGTATCTACGAGGGATTGATTCTAGGACCTCCCTTGGAAAAACAAAATCTGGGATGCTCAACTGTCTGATATAAAATGACGATATCTGCATATAACCTATGCACATCCTTCCATATACTTTATTTCTAGATTAGTTATAATACCTAATACAACATAATTACTATGTATATGATTGTTACACTGAATTATTTAGGGAATAATAACAAGAATAAAAAAGTCTGTACGTGTTCAGCACAGAAGCAATTTTTTTTCTGAATATTTTCAATCTGCAGTTGGTTGAATCCACAGATGCAGAACCCACAGATACGAAAGGCCAGCTGTCCTTCTATAAATTGAATAGTCCTAAAATGCTCAGAAGTCAAGGAAATTGCACCTTTAATTCAATGTGAGAAAAAAGAAGACATGGATCATGGAAACTAACTCAGAAACAGTTTCAGAATTCAAATTCACACAATTTAGGTAAACCTTTAGTAACTGATACTAGTTTATATTGTTGGTTTAATAAAACAGCCATGTTGGTCGGGCACAGTGGCTCAAACCTGTAATCCCAGCACTTTGGGAGGCCAAGGTGGGGGGATCATGAGGTCAGGAATTCGAAACCAGCCTGGCCAAGATGGCAAAACCCCGTTTCTATTAAAAATACAAAAATTAGCCAGGCACGGTGGCGGGCACCTGTAATCCCAGCTACTCGGGAGGCTGAGGCAGGAGAATTGCTTGAACCTCGGAGGCAGAGGTTGCAGTGAGCCAAGATTGCACCACTGCACTCTAACCTGGGCGACAGAGCAAGACTCTGTCTCAAAAAACAAAAATAAAAAAACAGCTATGTCTTCTCTGACTTATCAGTGTGTTAAATATACGCACAGATTTTTATTCTACTTGTAATGTTCTTCCTAAACTTATACATGTTTATTAATCAAATAAGCTAACATTACTACTACTTAATGCTTAAGATTCTAAAAAAGGTAAATTTGTATTTAAACAAATTTAATCATTATCTGACAAACTTTATTTCAATAATCACATCAGCTTGAAGATAATTTCCAAGGTCTCTAGGTAATTTAAAACTTCTGATACTAAATTGACTTAATCAATGGGTATTCATTAGATACCTACACCATTCCTGAGTACTAAAACACTGATTATTAAACACAATTTAAGTCTAAAGCTGGGCACAATGGCTCACACCTCTAATCCCAGCACTTTGCGAGACCGAGGCAGGCAGATTGCTTGAGCCCAGGAGTTCGAGACCAGTCTGGGCAACGTGGAGAAACCCCATTTCTACAAAAAACTTAAAAAACTAGCCACGCATGGTGGCATGTGCCTATAGTTCCATCTACTGGGGAGGCTGAGGTGGGAGGATCACTTGAGCCCAGGAGGTCGAGGCTGCAGTGAGCCATGATGGTACCACCGCACCCCAGCCTGGACAACAGAGTGAGACCCTGTCTCAAAAAAAAAAAAAAAAAGTTTATATACTTTTGTGTCTTGAGTCCATTAATGAATGTGTTCATTTTGAATACAGAAAGTTGTAGAAGGTTCATGGAAAGGGAATTTTATTTGTCATGGTCAAGACTGGATAAGTTTGGTGGTTTTAAATAAGGTTTTTAAAAAGACCTTTAGTATCAAATGTTATACTGATACAAAACTAAAATCGTGTTTTCTCTGTTTCAACGTCAAATGTTTATCAGATTACTGGTTTGCTCTTAATAGACTGTAAAAGTTATTCTTTACTTTTCTACATTATCTGCACAAACAGCAAGATTCTCTGTTTTACTATGAAAACCTATGGTTTCTGCCAACTTATTATGTCCTTGATTATTTAAGGAACAAGTTTCTCCTTCAGGAAAGTTTCTTGACGATCATGTTACCACTTATGTTTACTTTCAAAATATTTATTGTCACTTGGGTTAAATATAAAGTCATCTATTATTTCTTGGTAACCCACGATCCTATCTTAATTGAAGTTTTCAAATCTCCTGGCAACTTTTAATATTTTACCTTACCAAAATCAAATCATAAATATCATTTGCACCTAAAACTGTCTTTGAGATTTCCCAGATGGTGGTCCCCGAAACAATCACAAAGATTTGTTCTTTCACCTTTTAAAAAAAGAAGTGCTAGAAAATAATTAGGTTTATCTGTCATGTTGTTATTGATGAGTTGTCAAGTCAGAAGAAATGCTTAGCCTTCTCTAGGTTAAATGTGTATAGGTAAAATGTTGTAAATATTTCAGACTCTGCTTGCTATAGAAGTTAACAGAAAATTGTCAGTGCTCTCACTGACAATGATACACTGCTATTTATCAGAGTCCTGGTGCTACTTTGTTCGATATTAGACAACACAGCATTATGGGTCATAATTTCAGCTTTGTTTTTAAATGTTGACTTGGTCCCAACTTAATTTGAATCTAGTATCTTCCAGGCCAGTGGTTTTCAACTGGATATTCACATTACTTACCTATGATGTTTCATTAATAAGCACAGATAGATGTTCAGGACATATTCCGGACTTACAGAATCTCTTTCTCTGATATTCTTGGTATATTTTAACTATATGCTTGGTATATTGTTGGCATATATCAGAACTATCATATGTTATATCTAAACTTCTTTTTCTCAGTAATTATATTTATATACTTTTATTTCCCAGTAAAGATTAACTCTTATTTTCAAGAAAGAGTGGATATTCCATCTAATTTATAAAAATGGAATAGCCACTCTTTCTTGAAAATAGAATCCTTATGTTTATATGAATATTTTGTTTAAAAAAATTTTGGAATGACTTTAATCTTGTCTTGTACAACAAAGAAACAACCAAATATCCTTATTAATTGCTTTATTCTTATAATGAAATCTCATTGGATCTTTCACTTTTGAAAATTATAGTAATAAGTTAACCACAGCCACTTTAAGTTATTTTGTCATTTACAGATAGGTTTTCGTTCTACCTTGCTGCTTCCCTGACAGCACTTACAATCAGCTACAGGCCACAGTGCCTGTCTTCAACAAAGAAGAGCTGTCTTGGGACCCAAGGAAAAGGACTATGCCAGGTACCTTGCAGTACAGTCTTCTGATGTAATGTTTAAACAACTTTGAGAAGATACCAGTGGACTGACTCAGGATTTCTAGAACTCTAATCAAGAAGAAGATAAATTCATGAGACTGCTAACTAAAGATCAAGTGGAAAAAGAATTACACAGGACTGAATGAACTAATCAAGGATGACCGTGGATTCTGTTGAGAATATTGTTGCTGTTATTAATGTTTTATTTTCTGAATATATAAGGAGCCCTTTCCTCTTAAGCGATCTATACCTCATTACAATTTAGAATATGCTTTTGTAAATAAAATTATCCAGTGCATTTTGTCTTTCACACTGGTATGAATAACTTAATACCTTTCTAGAAAGAAACATAGCAACACCTCTCAAAAGCCTTAAAACTCTAAATATCTTATGACCTAGGAAGCTATCCTAAAGAAACAATCCAAAATAGTGAAAAATTCACAAAAATATTTGTATCAAGTCACTAATTGTAAGTGGAATCATATGTCACAAACCATATGTTATATCATGTTATCAAATTCAAACTATTAAATTATGGGATATACATCTAGAGGAATACAGTTTGCCATTGTCTGTCATAGGAAAATGCTCATGATATGGCAGCTTGTAAAAATAAACTGTATAAAAAAAATACACAGAAAAGAAATATGCCGGCCGGGTGCGGGAGCTCACGCCTGTAATCCCAGCACTTTGGGAGGCTGAGGCGGGTGGATCACAAGGTCAGAAGATCGAGACCATCATGGCTAACATGGTGAAACTCCATCTCCACTAAAAATACAAAAAATTAGCCGGGCATGGTGGCAGGCGCCTGTAGTCCCAGCTACTCAGGAGGCTGAGGCAGGAGAATGGCATGAACCCAGGAGGCGGAGCTTGCAGTGACCCAAGACTGCACCACTGCACTCCAGCCTGGGTGACAGAGCGAGACTCCATCTCAAAAAAAAAAAAAAAAAAAAGCCAAAACTATTTTTAGATGGCAGAATTAGAATTGGTCATTTTCTTCTTTATATGATTCATAGTTTTCCATAATAGATACAGGTTACCTTTATAATCAGGAAAATTTCTAACTGATTAAGTTACTTTTATTAAGCGAGAAGATTTCACTCACTTTTCTCAGGCAGTAGCTAGATCAATCTAGTTTTATTACGTGAAAAGATTTCATTCATTTTTCTTAGGCAGTGGCTAGATCAATTTGAAAACTATTCCTCTTACAGTGTATAACATTTAAAAAATGAAAAGAAAATTAATCCAAGTTATAAAGACACAAGTTAAATGAACTAAAAAGAATTTCCACAGAAAAAGACAGCTGTGCCTATTAACCTAAACAATCACAATCAGTAGCGTTACAGTTCTTAATTTAGCAGCATGATTTATGATGATCCAAGGGCCAGCCAGAATTCCAAACACCTGTAGGAATAATATGCAGAATAAACCACAACTAAAGTAAGAGAGAGAATCTGGAAAAGCTAGATCCAAAAAAAAAAAAAAAAAAAAACCTTTTTCTTATTTCTATGGCTTCTGCAGACGTTGGGGGGGAAATGTTTCTTGAATGGAGATTATTGCAGCTATTTTTAAAAGTATCCAGCCTCAATGCATATTTGGTGGCTTTTTAAGAAAATCACTATAGGATTTGCCTCTTTTACCTTAAGCCCAAAAAGAGGAAGAAAGAGAAATGTAATAAAACAGCTAATACTGAGCACTTACTATAGAACAGGAATTACTTAATCTTAATAACAACCTAGGAAGATGTTATTATTTTTGCCTTTCAAATGCGGAAACAGACTGAGAGAGGCTAAATTACTTCCCCACAATCCTACTGCTAGCAATCAAAAGGTAACATTCAAAGCCTATCTACTACCAAAACCTATGCTCTGCCTCCTTCATACAAGTGTCAGCAAAGAACCTGCTGTTAGGCAACGAGCCAGGAATTAGGCAATAAAAGTAAGCAAAACAACAGACGATGCCCCAGCCCTCATGGAGTTTACTGAAGGCAAACATAATAAACAAATATGTACACAAATATATAATTACAAATGGTGGCAAACTGCAGGGGCTCTGAGGACACATAACAGAAGGATCTCATCTATTCTGGGGGGAAGCGGGGGAAATGTCAAGGTGGACCCTAAAGTAAGCAATGCTTAAGACCTAAAGTGAAACTGCTGTACCCTAACATAGATTACATATGACATATATATCATGCATATACAGAATATATAGATGTGAAATATATTGTTTGAATTATTTGATAACATTTATAACACATAGCTTGAGACATACATGATTCCACCTATAATTAATAACTTGATAAAAATATTTTTGTAAATATTTTTTGTAAATTTTTCAGTATTTGGATTTGGATTTCTTATATATGTGTACACATATATATGTATATACATATATACTTATATACACTTGTATTATATATGTGTATATAATATATATTATATATTATATACATATGTGTATATTATAATATATAATATATATTATATACATATGTGTATATTATAATATATAATATATATTATATACATATGTGTATATTATAATATATAATATATATTATATACATATGTGTATATTATATATAATATGCACTATGTGTGCATATATATGCATATTATACACTATATATGTGTGTGTACATATATGTATAGTATAATATACATATATGTATGTGTACACATGTGTATATGTGCGTACACATGTGTATGTGTGCATACACATGTGTGTATATATGGGTGTACACATGTGTGTATATATGGGTGTACACATATGTGTGTATACAGATGGGTGTACACATATATGTGTGTGTATGTGTGTGTATATATGGTGTACACATATATGTGTGTATATATATCAGGGGAAAATGAGTTCCTTTCTTTTCTTAAGGACTGCTCTATGTGAAAAATTTTAAACACAGGTTACTGTTTCAGAGAAAGATCAACAAATTACCTAAATTATTCACATAATGCCAATCCCAATTTTACTCTAAAATTAATCCTAGATTTTAAACTGATCTTTACAATTCTTGTAGTTTAAGGATAAGCAGCCAAGAGAACAACCTTGAGAGACAAGCATAGATACATTCTTACTCTTGCCTTCGGGTAACAATGCTGTCTTCAAGAAGTAAGTATTGCCGAGCTTCTTCAAAATTCCATTTGATCATTTAGTAGACAAATAGTGTACTTGTTCTCCTGACTCAGTCTCAAGGGACAAGGTACAAAGTATAACAGCATCCATTTTATTTTGGGTAGAGCTATGCTTTTAAAACTGAGGGTCACAACCTATTTGTGGGTAATAAAATCAATTTAGTAGGTTATGATGAACAATTTTTAATAGAACAGAATAAGAATTATTTGAGTATCATATATTGCAAGGTCAAATACTGTTTCAAAATTGTTTTCTTTTGGTTATAAGGCACACACACACTGTCATAAAATATATTTCTTACTGTAGGTCACGACCATAAACACAGTTTCAAAACCACTACTACAGACCAGAAGTTAGAATCTTACTGTCTTCTTGATGTACAGACCGACGCCTGAAAATAACAACGTATCTGAAAATTTCTGAGCATTGGCTCTTCTTTATTCTGCGAGCAAGAAATAAAAGTTTCACGGGGGAAAAACGTTGTGGATGATGAGTTTTAAGAGGATTTCATATTTTCTATTTGCATTTTTTTCTAAAAACAAATCTTTCATCTCGTTTGATCCTGTTGAGTCCAATTCATCCAGAAAATACAGCATTTCACGGTTGCCAAGTAACTGTGCACATGGGCTTAAGCTGGGCTATGTATGGCAGGTGGCTGGAGAACACCTTGGCTTTGGACCTTGACCAGGGGAGCACATGGCGATGCGAGGGTAAGGGAAGAAGGGCTTGCAGATCTGGAGCCTAAGCTGTCAGCTGGGAAAGCTGCAGCCCCTCTAGGCCATTTTTCTCATCTCTAAAACGAGACGCACAGCCCAAATGATCTTATAAGAGCTCAACTCTTGTAATTCTATAAGCAATGGCTAGGAAGTTGGATGAAATGAACACTAAGCGTCCTACCATCTGTAAGAACTTGTATTAGCAAATGTTTAAATCCTTATCTGAGTAAGAACTAAATACTTAACAGATACAACTAACTAACTCCAAAAATTGTGTGAGAAAACCAAGTTATATCTACATTTTTATGTTCCCATATAAAAAGACTTTAGGATTTTAAATAAAATAAATGTACTATCGTCCAAAAGTTCCCCACTGAAACACTAAAAAGGTTGACAATTTCTATTAATTTGACAACTCTAAACTAGCTGTCCTCTAACAAGCCCTATTCAGAAAGTTCTACATTTCAGCAGTATCTTCAAATAGCCTGCTCACACACAAAAAAGCTTCCACTGAAAACATCAAATCTGATCAGCTTTAAAGCTTAGTATCTACTTTTCTCCACAGAAGGCTTATTTTGTCTGAAATGAAATCCATGTATGAAATGCTTTTGATAGACTGCCTAATATATTCTTAATAGCTTTCCCTGCTAATTTATAAACACGTGGCATCCATATGACCCATGAAACCAATACTGCTGAGGTAGGTCTGCAAATTGCAAAACATGAACGTTCTTGTAATTCAAAAACAAAACTTCATGTTGCCTGCTAGTGAATAAATATTTAAAGGCAAAGGCACTCGATTACACAGTGTGAGATCTGCAGGGGTCTAAAAATGCACCTACCATACTCACTGCCAGTGGAATAATGTATCTTTTAAAATATAGACATTTCAAGTACACCGCTTAAAATGGGGAAAGCATTTAAACACAATATACATGTTGAGAACACAGTTCTAGATTTTAAATATTTCTATTAATGTAAAAGACCACCCTAATGTAAGTCCTGTGTTTGTTTTGTTACTGTTGGAGTTGTTTCTAATCTACATACTCTATTACCCAAGCTGAAGTAAATAGTTTTTTAAAAGCAGCTTGCTACAGCCAGCTCAGATAAGCCAGCTCAGATACCAAAAATAAATAAAATCATTTAAAATTTGGCAACAATATTCTCTTTATATCACATGGACTCTCATCAATTTCAATTTTAGTAACAATTCAACGTAAAGAAACTTAAAATTATAAATGAGCTAGTTAAGAATTTAGGCTCTCTGATTAGCTTTTTATTTTAAAATAAAATGTGTAACACGTTCATCATAAAAAGTTTTAGGAAAAATTAGTATGTATTTTTTATATCTTTTTTCTATGCACATACTTTTTAAAATGCGATCACACTGAGTATTAGGGTTTTAAGAAGTTTAACTCAAATTAATAGTTTAAGCACAAATAGAGATTAGCTCACATCAAATCAGGAGAAAAATAGGGACAAATCTAGCACAAAAGGGCAACTGGCTGACAGTGTGGTGGTGCGCACCTGTAGTACCACCTACTTGGGAGGCCAAGGCAAAAGAATTCTTTGAGACCAGAAGTTTGAATCCAGCCTGGGTAACATACAGAGACTGCCATCTCTTTATTTATTTTTATTTATTTATTTATTTTAAAGGCAACTGGCCATAGACCTCTTTCAGCCTCTCTGCTTTTCTCTGGGGATTAACATCACTCTCTGAGACCAGGTCCTCTGTAGGAGCTTCAGGAAGCTAGCTCTAGGCTCATGAATTCTCAGCCTATACTTCAGTAAAATGCGCGTTTCTCTCTCCCAGCTCCAATTTGAAAAATCCCAGGAAAGAATCCTAATTGGCCTGGACTGGGTCAAGTGTCATGCCTATGGCCTGGCATCTGTAAGAAGAGGGCAGCTCCAATATGTACCATGTAGTTTGAGTCAAGAGAGGAATTCCCCCAAATAAGGTAGAAGGAAGACAGTGAAGTAGGGCAGACACAGCCGGTGGACAAATATGTGTATGAGATGAAAAACTACCTCAAATTTTGGCTCCCATCTTCTGCAAATTCTGTTTCATAGTCTGTTTGTTCTTGCTGAACACAGCGGTGAGTATGTATACATCAGAAATACTTGAGAATCTTCTTAAGAAGAGCTACTCAGGTACCACCCCAAAAGGAGTTGTATCATGAGCATCTTCACATGTCACTAAACACTATTTAAAAACAGTTTTTAATAACTGGATAGAATTCTGATGTGGTTCTGATTTTTTAAAATTTAATTTTATGACTTAAATCCAGAAAAGCCAGATACCATCATGATCCTTTTTGAACACAATATTCAAAAAGAATTTTATGAAAGCACCAACCACTGACATCTTTGCCACATTGTTCTGAGAAACTATGCTAAAGGATTCTTGGCGAGGGGTGGTGGGACAGAGATTATGGGGAGAATACTGGGTGGGGGATGGAGACAATAAGGTGATCCTCTGAGACTCACCATTAGTAAAAATGTACCGTACCACTGAGGTTTAAAAAAAGAAATCTTAAAGTGAGAAGGATAAAATATACTCCCAAATTAAAGCAGGAAAAGCAAGGTTTGTTATAAAGACTGAAGATTAAAACAAACATACTATAACCCAAACAATTTAGGAAAGTTTGTGACACAAGGGAAAAAAGCAGCCTGTGTGATGCCTAGAAAATAAAAACCTAAGAGTAAGTCTGGATCACACTGCCTCTCATTCAGAAGCAGGGGTGCACCTGCTAGGGATGCAAGCCCACCTCACTGGTCTGCTAACATGAGTCACCGGGATCATTCAACTCATTTCCCTTGCTAATATCATGCTTACTAATCAATCTCTTAATTATACTTTGGCTTTCTACAAGCAAGAGAATACACTGACTAACCAGGTGTACAGACAAAGCTGAGTATCTGTGCCTGAGAAGCCAAGCACAGTGAGTGTCTGGGCCTTGATTATCGTGCCAAGGGAGTGCCAGCTTATGAAGACCTACGGAGTCTTCAGCTAATCTCCTTCTCTCACGTTTTCCATTTTCTCTTTAAAGAAACCACTACCAGTAGCCTACTGATAGGCAACGTTAAAGAGTCTTCAAACAGCATACATACTACCTGGTCAAATGACAAGGCTGAGACAATAGAATGCTATGAGTAAAATCATAGTCATGAGGAATGAGGAATTATTAAATAACAGGAAGTTATTACAACAAATGTATCCAGTGAGCAGGCAAGACCTTTATATCCCCGTATTTCAGCAGAGCTCAGAACAAGATTTGCAGGACACCATGAGAGCATACATGAAGGAAACAGAGTGGCCTCTAACAATGACAGAAAATTAAAGGGAACTACAAAGTCCTCCTAAGTGACAAGTCCCCAGTTGAAAACATGAAGTTTCTGCCATCACTGCTGTTTGGTGACTCCTCTCTGCCTAACGCCACCCCCGCCAATGGCATCTACTGTTACAGTGGTGTAAAGGCATGACCATCACTGATGCTACACCAACAGTCTGGAGCACCACAGGAGGCTGACTTTGCCAGGGAGAACAGTTGACATACAAGGTCAAGACTGAAACACACAGGCTCAAGGTGGACATTCAAGCCGAGAGGCAGAGCAAATTGCCTAGGAGTGACGACATTCAACTAGTTTTTTAGTAGGAAATCCAGTTTTTCAAATGAATTTACAATAAATATATAAAGTAAATAATTCATTTTTTAAAAAAAGTTAATTGTTAAATTTATGCAGCATGTACTCATAAGGACAATGAGAACAATGAGGCTATTTTTAATATAAATATTTTAAATGAAAGGTTATAGTAAACAAGAGCATTATATCAGCCTTAATATCCAATTTATTCTGTGTTTTAGGTGTACAGATCCAATAAGTCACAAAGGTAAATTGTTCCAAATTAGTTTTAATAGCTCTCCTAGTCACCTCAGGATCCTCCTAAAACTGCCCCAGAAGCTTGAAAAAGAAATGATAAGCAATGTTTATTTCAAAATTTAATCACTAACAATAACAACAGCTATCCTTATCATGAATTCTTTATCAAAAATAAGGACAAAAGTATCCACAACTGACAGCAAGCAATAAAACTGGAATAGAGTACTATGACCTCTCTGCCTGTTTTGTGTTGCTGGGTCACTGCATAACACTCTTGGGTCAGGAGGAAAGCACACACTAGGCAGATGTGCTGGGCTGGCTGCACCTGCCACGATGGCACACTTGCTGCACAGCTTTGGAGGCCAACATGTACAGGCCTGAATTCTACAAAAGGCCTGTGCATTAACACAACCTTCCTAATCAATGACACACAGACATAAAGTATGTGACAAAGATGGCAAACAGAGTTTTATTCTAGTCTGTGGCAAAACCAGTTAACCTGGTAGCATAAATTATCACATTATTGGTTTCCAATGTATTAAAAGGTGGCATTTCACACATTTTCAACAAACATAAGAAAAAATGCTCAACATCACTAATTATCAGGGAAATGCAAATTAAAACCACAATGAGATACCACCTTACTCCTGCAAGAATGGCCATAATTTAAAAATAATAATTAAAAAAATAGACAATGGCATGGATGTGGTGAGAAGGGAACTCTTATACACTGCTGGTGGGAATGTAAACTAGTACAACTACTGTGGAAAACAATATGGAGATTCCTTAAAAAACTGGCCAGGCGCAGTGGCTCACGCCTGTAATCCCAACACTTTGGGAGGCCAAGATGGGCGGATCACGAGGTCAGGAGTTCAAGACAAGCCTGACCAACTTGGTGAAACCTTGTCTCTACTAAAAATACAAAAATGAGCTGGACCTGGTGGCAGGCACCTATAATCCCAGCTACCCGGGAGGCTGAGGCAGGAGAATTGCTCGAACTCGGGAGGCAGAGGTTGCAGCGAGCTGAGATCACGCCACTGCACTCCAGCCTGGGCAACAGAGAAAGACTCTGTCTCAAAAAAAACTAAAAAAACCTAAAAACTAAAAGTAGAACTACCATTTGATCCAGCAATCCCACTACTGAGTATCTACCCAAAGGAAAACAACTAATCATATGAAAAAGACACATGTACACACGTTTATAGCAGCAATTCGCAATTCACAACTGCAAAAATATGGAACCAACCTAAATGCCCATCAACCAATGAGTGGATAAAGAAAATGTGGCATATATACACCATGGACTACTACTCAGCCATGAAACAACGAAATAATGGCAACTGCAGCAACTTGGATGGAGCTGGAGGCCATTACTCTAAGTGAAGTCACTCAGGAATGGAAAACCAAACATCGTATTCACTTATAAGTGAGAGCTAAGCTAGGAGGATGCAAAGGCGTAAGAATGATATAATGGACTTTGAAGACTCGGGGGAAGGCTCAGAGCGGGGTGAGGAATAGACTACATATTTGGTACAGTGTACATTGCTTGGGTGACAGGTGCACCAAAATCTTAGAAATCACCACTACAGAACTTATCCATGTAACCAAAAAACACCTGTACCCCAAAAACTATTGAAAATAAAATAAAAAAGAAAATTGTAAAAAAAAAAAAGAGGTGGCATTTCACACATTTTGAACACGTACACTGAGCTCCTCTAAAATGGTTAAAAAAAAAAGTTCAAATGAACAACTGGATAGACCCCCTACATCTTTTACCAAAGATCTACAGTAATTCTGTCAGAGGTCAGTTCTATGTATTGAAGAGCAGGTGGTGACAACGAGGACATAAAAAAGAGAAAACAACAGCTTTGTCAAGTAATCTGTTTTACAGATTTTTCTATTGTAAAATTAACTGCAATGTTGCTAAGAAAAATATTGAGATCTTCTTGTTCCGTACACTGCTGTTCACTTACAGTTGGATGAAACCCATTATCCTGACCTATTTTTATTATAACACAGACAGAAGCCTGACTGAAAAGTCAAGTTTTTTTTTTTTTTTACCACTGAAGCAGCAGTCATTTTTGCAGCACATTTTCATTTCTCTGCCCTTCTCGCTTTTACCTAAGAATGCTCATGTCCATTTCTTTCCGGAGTAGGGTTATACAGAATTCTAATTTCTGATCCGCCCATTTGGATAATGAATTCTTCATGGTGGTTAAAGACATGGGCTGTGCAGCCAGACCTTTCTTCATTACCAGCTGTGAAACCCTGGACAAGATACTTAAACTGTGTGCCTCAGTTTCCTCATCTGTCAAAAAGAGAGTATAACAGGACCTACCTCATAGAGTTGTTGAAAAGATTAAATGGGTTAATAGAAATAAAGACAATGGCCTATTTTAACCGTTAAGTGTTCACTATTAATTTTAAAGAAAAAGGTATCAAAATTGCTCGAAAACTGATCCGTTAACAAATTTATAATAAACTTTCTGACAAAATTTCTAAAAATACTAGATGTATTCAAAAGGAACCAAAGGAATTCTCATTACACCCTGTACCATTATTCAGAGAAGTTGTTCCTTAGAAGTACCCAGAACTATCTCAGAATTAAAAGAGGCAACTAATTTCTTCACAGCTTATAAAAATAAAACAAATTTGTTTGGGCCAACTGAATGATGACAAGCAAGAATATGGCTCCTGTGTTCAGTTCTAACTACAGTTACAGGTGTGAATTTTCTTTAAGCAGGAAAAAGAGGACACTTTACTGCCTTATTCCTAGAACCATAGAGCAAGACCATAAGATGCCAAGAGGAGCTGCCGAGGTATTTTCATTACAGGGGACAGGGGGCAGCAGTTTGCAAGTTTACTCTGGGATGCAAAGGACAGGGAGTAAGAGGACATTTGAACATACAAACATAGGCACGTAAAAAGAGGGAAATTCTCAGTTATGGTGAGTTTGTTCTCTCAATTAAAAAAAAAATAAAGACATAAAAATAAGTTAATAGAGTATGGAAGAAAAAGCAACAAATGCTTTGGTTACCGAAGTTCCACCTTAGAGCTTCCTGCAGTAGCAAAGTTTTAGACAAATGAATCCTTACTTTTGTGCACGTGTGAGCAACAATCTGCACAATACTAGCACTAAAGGACAGTAAGGGGCCCTCAGAACAGGAAAGCAACGTATCTGTCTGCATAGTCTAAGTGCAATTTCTCACGGAAGAGATGACAGGCATTCTCTGGAGCGGGCAAAAGGAGAGGAGGAGGAGAACGCGGGGAAATAGCCAGTACGCACTCGATTTCCGAATGTCTCTTTTACTCGAATGAGGGCAGAGGGGAGGGACCACTTTCGTTCAGTAATGATGAGAGGCACTTCAGTGAGGCCACTCTTCCGAAGCTAGCGGCAGGGGAGGCAGCCGCACTCTGCTCCCAGCCCCCGCAACGTTGAGGGTGAGCTGGGGGAGTCTACAAGGGAAGGGGAGCCGGCAACACGCTCGAGCGGAACCCTGCGGAGCTGCAACCCCGGGAGGAGTCGCCGGACAGACTCAGACGCGGTCCCCTGGGACCCAGGGATGCACCGCGCCCCTCCCGCCCCAGCCTGCAGAGACTGGATGCTTCCCTCCCCACCTGGCGGGAAGCAGAGGCCCTCGGGCCCGACCGAGTTCGGGCCAGGACCCGCCCCGCTTTCTGCGAGCGACCGACTGCGGCCGCCACACTCACCTCGCCGCCAAGCAGCACTCGGGTTCTGACTCGGTCTCGGGTTCCGGTGGCGGTGGTGGCGGCGGCGGCGGTGGCGGCGGCTCCTCCATGGCGGCGGCAGGCGTGACGGCAAAGGCGGGAGGAGGGACCAGCGCGGCAGCGGCTTCTCTCATCCGTGCACGGAGCCCCGCATGGCCGCGGCGGGCAGTAAGCTGCAGCCTGGCGCGGGGCACCGGAGCCCCGAAGTGCGGGAGTGACTCGACTCCGCCTCCGCCTCTACCCCGCCGCAGGAGCCGTGCGCGCCGCGGCCATCTTGGAAACGGCGACCGGCCGAGCGCCGGGGCTACGGTGGGCGGCGAGGGACAAGCCTCCCAGATCGGCGGCGGTGGCGGCGGCGGCGGCGGGCGCCGGAATGCGACCGGACGGGGGCGGAGACGGCGGCAGGGAGGGGCGGGGAGCGCCGTCAAGTGTCGGCGCGATTCGGTCCTGGAGCCGGGTCTCGCCAGCTCGCCCGGTGTCGCCCCGGCCGGTGGCAGTGGGGGACTGTGGAGCGGAGCCGGGCTGTGCAGCGGGCTGGGAGCTCGAGGCTTCCCAGGCGGTCGTCGGTCTGGGAGGGACGCTGGGTAGGGCCGATGAGCGGGGCGGGCGCGACGCTATGAGCCCGGCCGGAGTCGCCGCCCAGGGACCTGCCACCCGGATCCCACCTTCCAGGAGGACGGACGTCACCCAGACGCTCGCAACTCCGGTCTCTTGACAGCGCAGCCTTCCACAGGCTCGAATTTTTAAGACTTGACATAAAGTCTCCGGAATTCCAGATTATTAAAGTGACCCCCTCATTTCAACCCGGCAAAACTTCTCACCCCAGTGTCATAAGATTCGATAGCGATCTCCCAGAAACTTGGACTGGAATGCTCCTACACTGAGGGGATGGGGGGAAGAAGAAATGCTAAAGATTATTTCAGAGTTACAGAAATCCTGTTGAAATTCCAATGCATCGTTTACTCTTAGCGCTGGGGCTTCACAGTTTTTTTTTAAGTTGGAAATATTTACAAAATTTCCCATAGGGTGAAATCCAGAGTTAATCCAAAACCAGAATCTTTTAAAATTAAGTACATTCAAATGTGCAGATTTCTTAAACCTCATTTAGTTGAGCTTTGATAGGTGAAACGCACGTTTTGAACAACTCTGGTAACAAAGAAAAACATTAAATTGATTATAGGTATGTTATATTTAAAGACCAGTTGTGAAATTAGCTATATTGTGCTCAAAGTATGTTACTGACATTTCTCCGTCGTTAAAAGGAACTGCTCCATTCTAGTTTTTTATAATAGTCTGTATTATGTATATAGCCTGATAGTGCTGAATTTCTGAATTGACCTTCATCTTATTTACTCAATAATATTCATTTGACAAATACTTATTAAGTGCATATATGTGTCAGGAACTGTACTAGATGCTGAGGATATAGCAGTAAGCGCAACAGACCAAGCTAACAGCTTAGTAAAGGGTGAGGTAAAACAAAACAAAAAAGTATTCAAAAAAATAAACTAATTTTTATCTTAATTTAAAAAATTACAAATTTTTAAAAATCACAAATTGGTATCCATGTATAATTCATTTCCGTGCATTTTCTTGTGTGAAGAAAGCTCAGTAAAAGTATTTCTTAGGTTTCTGTAATTCTAGTTCTCTACTCGATTTTCTTCTGCAATTTTCTGAGCCAGAACCCTTCTTAGAAGGCATATTAGAGACTTTAAAAGTTAAATAATAAAATAAATCTCTTCTTTAAACAGCATTGTACTACGTATTCTTTGGTATGACTACCGAATTTAAGCTAGCTGATAATGCAGACACGTGTGTCCAAGTCACAAAACACTTAGCAAATATAATCAGCATGCGGGAGACCTGTGGCTTGTTCTTGTGTTTTAATTTCCACTTGAGGATACTATGTATTTTAGCAGGAACCAAGTAAATTTACACTTACCTAATCAAGTAATGCATCATGTATAGAAACCTAAGTTAACTGGTACTAAATATTCAATATAAGTGTTGTGACTTTTCGCCCCACCCCCATGCTGGGTCCAGGAAAGCTGTTTCTCTGGCTGACAACCCTCTCATCTCACCCCGTGCCCCCACTTTGTCTTCAGGGCTCCCAGTGAGCGCCTCACAGCCCCCAGATTTCTTTTCTGCCTTCTCCACCATAGTGTAAGCTCCTTCAGGAAAGAAGCTGTTCTTCCTTCTTCTGACCTTTGCCTAGGGATCAAATGTCTCTGGTGCCCAACATGGTGTTAGTAGAACTCAGTAAGTATTGTTGCATTAATGAAATAGTTATTTTTTTTAAGTTATTAGATTTTTGTCTCTAAATTTTTATTCTTGTTTAGCACATGGTTGGTCTCATTGTCTCATTACCTTTAATAATGTTCTTTTTTTATTTTGGAGACAGGGTCTTCCTGGGCTCAAGTGATCCTCCCACCTCAGCCTCTGCTGTAGCTGGGACTACAGATGCATACCACCATGTCCAGCTAATTTTAAACATTTTTTTTTTTTTTTTGGTAGAGCTGAGGCCTCACTATGTTGCCCAAGCTAGTCTTGAACTCCTGGCCTCAAGTCTCCCAGAACCCTGGGATTATAGGTGTAAGCCACTGCACCCAGCCTAATCATGTTAAAAACAATGACAACAAAATCTTCAGAGAATTACCTTTCACTCTTTGTCCTCAAGACCGAATCCACATAGCCCTTATGGAATTTCTTTACTTTGAAATGAGTTTAAAAAGCTAAGGTTCTACTGAAGACCTAGTCTAGGTTGAGCTACGTAACATTCAGAACATTGCTTACCATGAGTTTAAAGCCCATTTTTGACATACACAAAACCAGTTACATATTCATATGCATGTTCTTTCTGCTTTGCCAAAAACACTCAAAAACCTTGGACATATGCTACCACTATTATGAAGTCTCAAATTTCCTCTCTATATAGTGTGTATATATATATATGTACATAAATGTAAAGGGCATAATTGTAACACCTTAGCATATTTCAAGGCTAGTATATTAGTCAATTTTATGGATTTTGCCACAGGATTATTTAAAAAAAATTTTTTTATTTTGAGATGGAGTCTTGCTCTGTTGCCCAGGCTGGAGTGCAGTGGCGTGATCTCAGCTCACTGCAACCTCTGCCTCCCAGGTTCAAGCGATTCTCCTGCCTCAGCCTCCTGAGTAGCTGAGATTACAGGCACCTGCCACCACACCTGGCTTTTTGTATTTTTTAGTAGACACAGGGTTTCACCATGTTAGCCAGGATGGTCTCAATAAAATAAGTGATGTGATAAATAGGGTTATGTCTGCTATTAAAAAGAAAAACCTCTAAGGCTATAGTTTTTAAAATTATTATTAGCGTGGTGCTGCATTTTACTTAAAATAAGTTCCTCCCTTCCTTGTGGTATTCCTGAGGGAGCACACCCCTTCATTTCCTTCTGGAAGTGCAGGGAGTTAAAACCAGGAGAGCCCACATTTCTTCATTCCTGTTCTGGTTTCTCAGTTCCCCCCGACCAGATTCCGGTGTGAACATTCAGACAAAAACTTCAGCAGTTCTGGCCCTCTGCTCTCTGGTGGCTCCTCTACAGCTCCGCAGAGGCAGAAAGACAGGCAGCACAAACATGCAATCTGCTCACGACCAGAGGGGCTGATTAATTTTCACTCCAGCACACGCAGAGAAAGGCAGACCCAGTGAAAGAGAGCAATAAAAACCTCACATCCATTGGAGAGGACCTAAACTAAGCACGACACACATTGATTTTTTGTTTCATAATGATACAGTGGCATCTATTTCTATCTACTGGTAAAACACCAAAGAAATACTGGATATGTACAAAAGATAGTAAACTTTTTTAAAATTTACTTTTAAGATTAGGTGTACATCTGCAGGTTTGTTATATAGGTAAACTTGTGTCATGGGGGTTTGCTGTACAGATTATTTCAACACCAAGGGATTAAGCCAGTACCCATTAGCTATTTTTCCTGATCCTCTCCCTCCTCCCACCCTCCACCTTCCAATAGGCCCTGTGTGTGTGTCCATGTGTTCTTATCATTTTGCTCCCACTTATAAATGAGAACATGGATGTTTGATTTTCTGTTCCTGCATTAGTTTGCTAAGGATAATGGTCTCCAGCTCCATCCATGTTGCTGCAAAGGACATGATCTTGTTCTTTTACGTCTGCATAGTATTACATAGTGTATATGTACCTCATTTTCCTTATCCAGTCTACCACTGATTGGCATTAGATTGATTCTGTGTCTTTGCTATTGTGAATAGTAGTTACACACTTTTTAAATAGTCCTTATAACCTTAAATCTCATCCTTCTTGGCTGAGTAGTAGGAAGTTGGAGAAAACCTCCACTGTTTATTTGCTGAGAGGTGATTTGCCTGTTTTTGTTATTTCTCCACCATGACATAAATCACCCCTTATTGCAGACATTCTCCTCTGCATGAAGAATCTAAATTGAACCCCCAGGGGCTCCAAATCAGTAGATAAAGAATTAAAGATTGCATGCTTTCAAAAAATAATTAGAATAGTGGGAATTACCCAAATGATTGAAACAAATAAAGGGAAAGGACGTGGCCTCCAACATATAAAACGTGAGCATGTGCTAACCCACAGGGAGGAGCACCCACTTCATTTCCTTTGGGACATGCAGGCAGCTAAAACCAGGAGAGCCCACGTTTCTTCATTCCTGCTCTGACTTCTCAATACCTCTTTCCAGGATCTTGCTAACATGAGGAACAGATGGCTTAAAAAATGGAAATTCCTGAGGGAGCTCACTCTTCTTGTGAGCCAAGATTTCAGTGATTTCCCACCAAAACATCTAGAGACCATGCCTGATTCTCATCCTTTCATTTCTCTTTCAGATGTCCACGTGCAAGGCCTAGAGAACCAGAAACAGCAAGCTGCAGTTCCTGTATTATTTTCAGATCCCTTAAAATCACCAAGTGCATGTGCATGAGATGGAACCAGGCAAGGAGAACCGAGATGACATCACATCAAGGAGCTCCCATGCCCTCTGCCAGAGGCCTCTGCCCTTCACTTCCACATGGCAAAGTCACTTCTCCTTTCAGTGCTGTTCGTGTGTCTCCCACACCACTCTTGGGAGACTTCCCTGCCCTCCACCACTAGCCTGCCTTAACCTGCTGGCTAGGTGCTCCTCCTCAATGTTCCCATAGCACTTTGGGCAAACCATTATTTTAGCCCTATATCACCTATCTGCATCTGTATACTTGACTGATTACATGTGTATTTCTTCCTTGTGATCTTCTCAAGAGCAGGCAATGTTTTTTGCTTATCACTGTATCTTCAGCAGCTAGAATAACACCCTGTAGGCAGTAACTGTTCAGTGAAATGTCTATTGATAAATGAATGCTGGGCGCAGTGGCTCACACCAGTAAGTAATCCCAGCACTGGGAGGCCAAGGTGGGAGGATTGCTTGAGCTCAGGAGTTCAAGACCAGCCCAGGCAATATGACAAAACCCTGTCTCTACAAGAAGTACAAAAATTAGCTGGGCACGGTGGTGCACTCCCACCAGCTATTCAGGAGGCTGAGATGGGAGGATCACTGGAGTCTGGGAGGTCAAGGTTGCAGTGACCTGTGATCACATGATTGCACTCCAGCCTGGGCAACAGCCTGGATATATCAACGGGGAAATAAATCCCAGATATAAATTACTGTAGTACAAGTAGACTATAAGAAACATCATAAACAAGTTTTTTTTAAGTTCAACAGACATTCACAAGAATTGGAGACAACCAAGGTGGACACAAGTAAGGAGAAAAACCTATATTTAAAAAATAGACATTCAGGCCAGGCGTGGTGGCTCATGCTTGTAATCCCAGCACTTTGGGAGGCCGAGACGGGCGGATCATGAGGTCAGGAGATCGAGACCATCCTGGCTAACACGGTGAAGCCCCATCTCTACTAAAAATACAAAAAAATTAGCCGGGCGTGGTGGCGAGCACCTGTTGTCCCAGCTACTCAGGCGGCTGAGGCAGGAGAATGGCGTGAACCCAGAAGGCAGAGCTTGCAGTGAGCCGAGATCACACCACTGCACTCCAGCCTGGGTGACAGAGTGAGGAAAAAAAAAAAGAAAAAAAAAGTAGACATTCAGTATAAGGGGGTAAAAACCATGTTAACTCCACAATACATGAACCCCTTTGTCACAAAAATATTATGAAGCATAGAAATAACCTAGATTTTTATACTGATAGTACAGAATCCTTATAGTCCTACTGGCTGCTTGTGTAGATACACGTACTAACAAACAAAAGGCTTCTAACATCATTCTGACTGAAGTAAGGAAAAAGTAATAATAAATAAATATGGAAATGGACTTTTAAACACTGATTTTTATTGAGATATGGCTCTGATGCACATCAGAAATATTTTGAGCCTACCAAGGGTCAGAAATAAGTTCCACAAAGTCAAGGACTCATCCGTCTGAAGTTTACATTTTCAGAGTAGTTTGCCACATCATGAAGTCCTTGAGTTGGAAACATGCTGAAAGGCATCTGATTTACCCTTATTCTCAGAACAAGACTTTCCATCAATCACAAAAGTGTCCAATGGTTGAATTTCTCAATTCTATAAGGAAGTCTGTTCCATATTTTGACAAATCTTATTCATAGGATATTAAAGCTTGTAACAATCCTAAATCTGTCTCCCTATTATGTCTAGCTGGTGGTCTATCTGGGACTATATAAAATAAATCTACTTGACATTTGAGAATAATTATTTCATGGTTCTCCCCTAAAATGACAACACAAAAATCTTTTTTTTTTTCCAGATTAATCACTCCCTTCCCCGACTCCTTTCAGACTTGGAGAGTACTGGCTGGAGACAATTCTATTAGAAGGTTTTGCTTATATAATTTACTTGACAATTCAGACTTGACTAAAGTCATTTTGCTTAAACTAAGAGAATTTGAAATCCTAACTTCAGAATGCTTTTACCTCAAATTCATTTCAAAATATAATTGAAGGACTATACATACTTGAAGGATAATTGAGAAAAGACTGTCTAGTGGTTAATTTTCAATTTAAACTAAGGGCATTATGTGTTTCCAACAACCAGGATCATTCACCAGTATAAAAGGAAGGTGTATTAGTACATTCCTGCATTGCTATAAAGAACTACCTGAGACTGGGTAATTTATAAAGAAAAGAGGTTTAATTGTCTTAGAGTTCCGCAGGCTGAACAGGAAACATGGCTGAGGAGGCCTCAGGAAACTTATAATCATGGTGGAAGGTGAAGGGGAAGCAAACACGTCTTACACGTCCAGAGAAAAAGGAAGAGAGAGTGAAGGGGAGGTGCTATACACTTTTTTTTTTTTTTGAGATGGAGTCTCACTCTGTCGCCCAGGCTGGAGTGCAGTGGCATGATCTCGGCTGTCTGCAAGCTCTGTCGCCCAGGCTGGAGTGCAGTGGCATGATCTCGGCTGTCTGCAAGCTCTGCCTCCCAGGTTCACGCCATTCTCCTGCCTCAGCCTCTCAAGTAGCTGGGACTACAGGTGCCTGCCACGACGCCCGGCTAATTTTTTTTGTATTTTTAGTAGAGACGGGGTTTCACCATGTTAGCCAGGATGGTCTCAATCTCCTGACTTTGTGATCTGCCTGCCTCAGCCTCCCAAAGTGCTGGGATTACAGGCGTGAGCCACCGTGCCTGGCTGTGCTACACACATTTAAAAAACCAGATCTTGTGAGAACAGCAAGGGGGATGTCCACCCCCATGATCCAATCACCCCCCACCACCAGGCCCCTCCTCCAACATTGGAGATTATAATTTACCATGAGATTTGGGTGGGGACACAATCCAAACCATATCATCCCACCCCTGGCCCCTCCCAAATCTCATGTCCTTCTCACATTGCAAAATACAATCATCCCTTCTCAACTGTCCCCCAAGTCTTAACTCATTTCAGCATTAACTCAAAAGTCCAGAGTCCAAGTCTCATTTAAGACAAGGCAAGTCACTCCTGTCTATGAGCCTATAACATAAAAAACAAGTTAGTTACTTCCAAGATACAATGGGGTACAGGCATCAGGTAAATATGCCTGATCCAAAAGGGAGAAATTGGCCCAAACAAAGGGGCTATAGGCCCCATGCAAGTCTGAAACCCAGCAGGTCAGTCATTAAATCTTAAAGCTCCAAAATAATATCTTTTGACTCCATGTCTCACATCCAGGACACACTGATGCAAGGGGTGGGCTCCCAAGGCCTTGGGCATCTGCACCCCTGTGGTTCTGCAGGGCTCAGCTACCATGGCTACTCTCAAGGGTTGGTGTTGAGTGCCTGAGGCTTTTCCAGACACACGGTATAAGCTGCCAGTGGCTCTACCATTCTGGGGTCTGGAGGACAGTGGCCCTCTTTTCACAGCTCCACTAGGCAGTGCCCCAGAGGGGACTCTGTGTGAGGGCTCCAACCCCACATTTCCCCTCCTCACTGCCCTTAGTAGAGGTTCTCCATGAGGGCTCCAACCCTGCAGCAGACTTCTGCCTGGACATCCAGGTATTTCCATATATCCGCTGAAATCTAAGTGGAGGCTCCCAAGCCTCAACTCTTGCCCTCTGTGCACGCACAGGCTTAACACCACATAGAAGTCACCATGGCTTATAGCTGGCATCTTCTGGAGCAGTGGCCTCAGATGTATCTGGGGACCTTTTAGCCATGGCTGGAGCTGGAATGACTAGGACACAAGGAGCAGTGTCCCAGGGCCCATCCAGCGGGGCCTTTGGCCTGGCCCATGAAACCATTCTTCCCTCCTAGGCCTTCAGGCCTGTAATGGGAGGGGCTGCCACAAAGGTCTCTGGAATGCCTTTGAGGCATTTTCCCCGTTGTCTTGGTTATTAACATTTGGCTCCTCTTTATTTATGCAAATTTATGCAGCCAGCTTGAATTCCTCCCCAGAAAAATGGGTTTTTCTTTTCTACCATATCGTCAGGCTGCATATTTTCTAAACTTTCATGCTCTGCTCCCGTTTAAAATATAAGTTCCAGTTTCAGATCGTCTCTTTGCTCACACATGAGATTATGCTGTTAGAAGCAACTGGGCCACATCTTTCATGCTTTGCTGCTTAGAAATTTCTTCTGCCAAATACCTGTTGATGAAAAGAGTCAAACTCTGTAAAATAGTTAAAGAGATTTATTCTGAGCCAAATATGAGTGACCATGGCCTGTGACACAGCCCCCAGGGGATCCTGAGAACATGTGTCCAAGATGGTTGGGGTGCAGCTTGGTTTTATACGTTTTAGGGAGACATGACACTTCAGTCAAACACACTTAAGAAATACATTGGTTCAGTCTGGAAATGTGGGACAACTTGAAGCAGGGGCTTCCAGGTTATAGTAGATTGAACATTTTTCTAACTGGCAATCAGTTGAAAGAGTTATCAACAGAAAGGAATGTCTGTGTTGGGATAAGAGGTGTGGAGACCAAAGTTTTTTCATGTAGATGAAGCCTCCAGGTAGCAGGCTTCAGAGAGATTATATTGTAAATATGTCTTATCAGACTTAAGGTATGTGTTGATGTTAATGCTGAACAGGCATAATGAGGCATGTCCGACCCCCACTTCCTATCATGGCCTGAACCAGTCTTTCAGGTTAAATTTTAAAGTGCCATGGCCTAGGAGGAAGTCCAATCAGATGGTTGGGGGGGACTTATATTTTTATTTTTGGTTTACATCCCCTAAATCATCTCTCTCAAGTTCAAAGTTCCACAGATCCCTAGAGGAGAGGCACAATGCCACCAGTCTCTTTGCTAAAGCATACCAACAGTGACCTTTACTCTAGTTCCCAATAAGTTTTTCATCTGCATCTGAGACCACCTCAGTCTGGACTTCGTTCTTTGTCCATATCACTATCAGCATTTTGGTCACAACCATTCAACAAGTCTCTAGAAAGTTTCAAACTTTCTCACATCTTCCTGTCTTCTTCTGAGATCTCCAAACTGTTCCAACCTCTGCCCATTATCCAGTTCCAAAGTCATTGCCAAATTTTCAGGTATCTTTATAGCAATGCCCCACTGCTAGGTACCAATTTTCTATATTAGTCCATGTTTGCATTGCTATAAAGAAGCACCTAAGACTGAGTAATGTATAAAGAAAACAGTTTTAATTGACTCACAATTCTGCAGACTGTACAGGAAGCATGGCTGGAGATTCCTCAGGAAACTTATAATCATGGTGGAAGATGAAGGGGAAGCAGGTTCATTTTACATTGCTGGAGAAGGTGGAAGAGAGAGCGAAGGGGGAGGTGCTTTTAAACTTTTAAACAACCAGCTCTCATGAGAACTCACTCACTATCATGATAACAGCAAGGGGGAAGTTTGCCCCCGTGATCCAATTACCTTTCACCAGGCTCCTCCTCCAACACTGGGGATTACAATTTGACATGAGATTTGGGTACAGACACAAATCCAAACCATATCAGAAGCTGAATCCTTTTTGTTCTGCAAACCACTGCTTTTCAAAGTTTGACGTGTACGTGGATCACCTGGAGATCTTGGTAAGCTGCAGATTCCCAAGTCAGTAGGTTTGAGGTGGGAACAGAGAGTCTGCATTTCTGTCAAGCATCACAAGTGATGTGGTGGCTGCAGGAGGCTGGGCTGCACTTCGAATAGCAAGAACACAGGATTCTGCTTGGGTAGATAAAAGTCCTCTGCTTAAAGAGGATGACCAAGAGAAAAGATGGAGGTATTACATTCAAGCCAAGATAGCTAAGCCTTGCTACCAGGTGAAATCAGCAAACATGTGGCAATCCTGGTGGTATGGGTTGCATTGCATCTCTCAAAAAGATATGTTTATGTCTGTCTTCATCTGTTTATATTGCTATAACAAAATGCATGAGACTGGATAGTTTATAAGCAGCATACATTTATTGCTCACAGTTACAGAAGCTGGGAAGTCTAAGATCAAGGCACTGGCAGATTCCCTGTCTGGTGACTTTGAATGGCAAGGTCAAGATTCTTCCAAGGTGAAAGCTGCTTCCTCCAGAGGGAAAAAGTGCTGCATCCTCACATAGCAGGAGGGACAGAAGGGCAAAAAAAAAAAAAAAAAAAAAAAAAAAAAGGTCAAGCTAGTTGCCCTTTTATAAGGTCACTAATCCCACTCACAAGGGTTTTGCCCTCATGACTTAATCACCTCCCGAAGGCAGCACCTCTTAATACTATCATGTTGGGGTTTAAGTTCTAGCATGAATTTTGGGGGAGACATAAACATTCAAGCCATAGCAAAGTCCTAACCCCTGGTACCTGTGAATGTGACCTCATTTGGAAACAGAGCCTTTAGAGACATAATCAAGTTAACATGAGTAAGATACTGAAGTAGGTTGGGTCCTTCAGTCAGTGTAAGTGGTGTCCTTATAAGAAGGGGAGAATATCACGCCTGTAATCCCAGCACTTTGAGAGGCCGAGCTGGGCAGATCACGAGGTCAAGAGATTGAGACCATCCTGGCTAACAGTGAAACCCCGTCTGTACTAAAAAATACAAAAAATTAGCTGGGCATTGTGGCAGGCACCTTGTAGTCCCAGCTACTCGGGAGGCTGAGGCAGGAGAATAGTGTGAACCTGGGAGGTGGAGCTTGCAGTGAGCCAAGATCACACCACTGCACTCCAGCCTGGGTGACAAAGTGAGACTCCGTCTCAAAAAAAAAAAAAAAAAGAAGGGGAGAATAGACCGAGAGAGACCACCAGATGCTAGAGACTAGGAAGGATCCTCTCATCTAGAGCCTTCAAAGAGAACATGGCCTGCTGTCATCTTGATTTGGGACTTCTGACCTGCAGAACTGTGAAAGCCCAGATTTCTGCTGTTTTTGTTTTGTTGTTGTTGTTGTTGTTGTTGTTTGTTTCTTGTTTGTTTGTTTTTGAGACAGAGTCTAGCTATGTCACCCAGGCTGGAGTGCAGTGGTGCGATCTTGGCTCACTGCAACCTCCGCCTCCTGGGCTCCAGTGATTCTCCTGCCTCAGCCTCCTGAGCAGCTGGGATTACAGGCACGGGCCACCACGCCCAGCTAATTTTTGTATTTTCAGTAGAGACAGGGTTTCACTGTGTTCGCCAGGATGGTCTTGATCTCCTGACCTCGTGATCCACTCGCCTCGGCCTCCCAAAGTGCTGGGATTACAGGCGTGAGCCACTGCTTTAAGCCACACTGTGGTGCTTTGCCATAGCAGCCTTGGGAGCCGAATTCA